>NC_000001.11:239062909-239214424 GCF_000001405.40 Homo sapiens
TACACACACGAACATAGAGGAATATGCATTTGTTTATGAGAACCTTTTTTTTCACATATGTGGCTATAATTTTCATGTTTTTAGGAGACGTTTAGGTTTTGTGGAGAGTGAAGAAAAATTTGGTCTAAAGGCTTGACGAAGCCCCATGCAAGTGAAGGGCTCTCTGCATTTTACACGTCATTTCCTTTGTGGTAAATCTGCTCTTCTGTATTTCTGTAAATGTATCTTCTGCACTTTGTTTTTTCACTAAAAAATTTACATTGGCTATCTTTCCATTCCTAAAACAAAAATCTAGCCAACATAACTCATTTCAAATATTGCATATAAGTGGTTTTATCGGTATTAAATCATCATATTATAGCTCTTAACCAAATGTTTGAAGCAGCCTCTGGGTTATGGATAAGTAGTTCTCTGGGATAAACAGCAACGAGGCCAATGCTTTTATGAAAGATATATATTTGTAACTGGAATATATACTGTGAAATTGTTCTCAAAAAAGCTGTTCTATTTTATACACTTGCCAATAATTGATATTATTAATCATTTTGCCTAGCTTTAAAGCATTGTACTAACTGGTACCTCTTAATGCTTTGAAGTCTATATTGATAAATTTAATTTAAAAGTGTGTTTTTCTTTGATAACATAAAGGAAACTGGAGAGGTGAGATGGAGAATAAAAATAAGACATATATTATTTAATGAACTTTAAAAACAAAACCCTAAATGAGATAAGTCCCATTTCACTACTTCAAAAAAATATATAATGCAAAGGGAATACTTATACATACACTTGGGAATACTCTGGAATTATCTATGAATGCTGATGATACACATAAACCTAGTCTGCCCACAGTCTCAAGTCATTTGTAGTCCTAACATTCCACCTCATTTGGTACTTGCCCCAGTATTTTTTTCATTTTTAACAATAATTTTTATTAATTGTTGCACTTAAATAATCCAGATGGACTGGAGAAAACTCCACTTTGTATTTTCAGCTTCTCATATGCTCTTTTCCACCAGTATATGAGACACATTAGCAGAAAACAAAATTCTTATGTGAACACATGCTGAAATCTGAAAAAAAATAATAAGTGAGAACTAATCTCTAGTTCTCAACTCTTTCCAGATACACTATAGCTAATACCTCACTTTCAGTAACAGTATAAAGTGAATTCACTGATAATAACCAGTGCAGCTAAGTCCTTCTGGTCTAGGGCAGTGGTCGGAGTGGTGTTTAATATCGGTGCCCTTGCAGCCACTTTGCTTACCAGCTAGTTCTCCCTGAACCAGTACTGCAACCTGCAAGAGTCAAAAGCTTATAGGCAACCCATTGGTGAGGTCAGTGGGAAATGCAGGGAATGATAGTTAAGATAGAAGTGACACGTGTGGGAAATAGAGACTGGGACATCCCGCCATAGAGTTCTAAAAACAATTTCAATATTCTCGCTACAGTTCTTTTAGTATTTATCATATGCCGTATATCTTCAACTATTTATTTTACGTATTTGATTGCTTGATATGTGGGACCAACCCCTTTCAAGAGAAATGACTCAATGTCAAAAGTTACGTATGAGCTGAGAGTAATATAAATAAAACATTAAGTCTGAAATTTCCATTTCATAGAACGTTTAGAGAAACTTTTTAAAAATATTTATGAATACTTACAATCTTCCTATGTGCTATAGTAACATTGCTGTCCACATTAAAAAAACAATATGACATAACTCTGTTGAAGGAAACTCAACATCCACTTTAAAGTTAGTACATTTAACAAGGCTGCCCTCAAAATGATTATTTAACACATAAAAATAAAGAAGATGCATTTACATGTAAACCATGTAAGTCTGTGAAGCTTGAATTTTTCATTTAGATCAAACGACTATTTCTTAAATAAATTCTGCTTGCGTCCATGTTCTATTGTGAATTATTAAAAAGTGAAGTAATAACTGTTAAGGTATTAACTTCATTGGTAGAAAAACTTTATAGTTAAAAGATTGCTGGTTTTATCAATTTCATCAAATGCTTTGAATACAAATTGGTTAAGTTTATTCCAATAACATTGTTTTTACATTTTTAAAATTTTCATTCATGAAGTAGAGGAAAGATAAAATTATTTAGGAGTTCATTCTGACAAAGGTGAAACATCCAACTTTACAATAAATATTTTCATAAGTTTATCAAAAAGTTTAACACTGAATAATAGTAAAATTACTCATTTTGTGGTAATAATAAAAATATAAATTTTGATGGAATACAGCATCACGGTAAACACGATTTTCTTGCTAATTCAACAAACCTGGGAAGCAGAAATGTACTTGGATTTGCAATGCATACAAAATTCATAATTGCATGTAAGCAAGTTATAATATCCCAATGGCTAAATAGAAACTCTGTTTGTCTTTTTTTTTTTTTTATCACACACACAATTTGAGTAACTAAACTACAACATTTTTATGATAAAGTTGATGTTGGAAACAAACCAAAAAATCATTTTTCAGCATGGCAATGTGCTCCACTCATTGGATTTTACAAATGTCTGAACATGTGAAGAATTATTTCATAAATCAACTTAAACATGTGACAATTGTATTGAGCTTTTTTTTTGGTATGTGGGTACTCTAAAGATGAGTATCCTTTGTTTTTGCAAAACCAGTAAAAATATTTAATAAATTTTTTCTATAAATGTAGTACCAAAATGTTTGAAGTTTCTACTGAACCATTGAAAACAAAATACGTAAGCAGAAATATATGACAAAGTCAAGAGAGAAACTGAACAGATTAAACAAAGGACATGCAACGTGTTATATGATTTCATTTCTCAATTTTATAATCCCTTTCTATAATATCTTGACTTGCAGAGAAAATTTTTGTTGGAGTTTCTATGTTTAATAAAATAAATGGATATATTTACTAGAATGAAATGAAATTAGGAAGGCCTATGATTTTGCAGCATAAACGAAGCAATTTATTTTAATTGCTTTTTCCTAATTAAACTAAGAAAGGTATACATAGAAGGACAATATCTGTAAAAATATTTAGCATACAGTATTAAAAATTTTCAATACACAATATTCTCCAGAGAGCAAAAGTTTCTCTGAGTGTAGAATTTATATCAATATCTGTGAAGATAATATTTTTCTCAATTATAGATGAGTCAAAAATTTTGAAATTTATTAACCCACAAGATCAAATTTCAAACTTAAAACAATTTTATGAAAAAAAGTCCAAAAATAGTAAGACCAAGTTGAAAAAAATACATTTAATACACAAATGGTGATGACTCAATTGATTAGTATAAGTTAATATCTCTAATACTTGATTAACTATTTCATTTATCATAAGCCCATTTAAATGAGTGGACTTTGTCCTAATTGTCTTCAGTGTAGACAAATGTTATTATATTTTAGACATAATTTGATCTCTGAAAACACTTTTAGGATAAGACTATTGAGTTGGCAAGCCAATATATTAATAATCAATTTATCAGTCAATATCTTAATTCAAGCTACTATAACAGAGTACCATAGACTGGGTGGTTTATAAATAACAGATATTTATTTCTCACAGTTTTGGAGGCTGAAATTCCAAGATCAGGATATAGCATGGTTGGGTTCTAGTGAAGGCCTCTTCACTCAGAAGACTACTGTCTTTTTGCTGTATCCTTACATGGTAGAAAGAAGTCAAGAGAGCTCTCTGAGTTCCTTTTTATAAGGGCATTAATCCCATTCATGAGAATTCCACCCTCATGACCTAAAAACTCCCCTATTCCCCACCTTCTAATAGCACCCCACTGGGGTTTAGGATTTCAACATGTGAATTTTGGAGTCACAGACATTCACTCCAAATAAGTTAGTAAATACCAGTTTGATTTACATAATGTCAAGTATTTGATAACGCCCTTTAACTCTCAAAATGTCCCTATGTGTACAATAACTTACATGGTAAATTTGCCTATGATTGAGTAATTCCTTTCTTAGTTATTTACCCAGGGGATTGCAGGCACAGCAACACTAAGAGACAGGTTAAAAAAATGTTCACAGCTATGTCATAATAACTTAAAATTAGGAACAATCCAAATATCCAAACACAACAGAATGGATAAATAATATAGTTTAGTCTTAGCATTGACTGGTATGGAAATTAACAGGAAAAATGCAACTATGTGGATAAATCACACATATATACCACTAAGGGAACGAGATTAATACAAAAAATATATAGTCTATGAAAGAAATATAAATGTCAAAATGAGACTACACTGTCACTATTATTCAAACATCTGTACACAGTGAAACTATATAAAAAAGAAAGAAAATACTGACCACAATTTCAAGATTGTTGTTACTTATAAGGAGAGAAAAGAGTCAGCAGTTCTGGGGCTCTGAAAGTATTCTATTTCTTGACTTTGATAAGGTTTAGACAATTGTTGGCCTCATTTTTTTTAAAAAAAGCCTACATTTGAGGTTCATTTTGTTTTTCCTGTATATGTGCCAAATTTTAATTTTTTAAAAAAAGTAGGTGAACAATCTGAAATTAAAAGTTTTTATTCTAAGGCCTCTTTGTCATTTACTAGAGTAGTTGATACTTTTAAAATGTAAAGCTGTTAAACAATTATAAATTATATTTATATCAAGGTGATTTTCCCAATCTAGTGAGCACATGTGAATATGTATGTATCTAATCTAGTGAGCATGTGTGAATATGTATGCATCTGTTGGGGGGAGGTTTATGTGTGTGCCTATGTGTTTGCTTTTTATGTCTGTGTAGTTGTAAGCATGTGTACATGTATTTAGGTGTGTGCATTTATTTGTGTGCCTGTCTGTGTGTGCATGTATGTTTTGTAGGAAGGTGAGGATACATTTTTTTTTGGTGTAGAAGATATGATCATCACAGAAATAATTAAAATGAGCAGGTTTTTGAAAATAAAAACCCCAAAACAGAAATAAAATTTCAAGTAAATGAAATAAAATGAATAAATATATTTTTTCATCAAGTTAGATGTTTCAAAACACAGACTTCAATGTTAGCTTATTTCCAGCTTTTTGTTTTCTCAGTATGTGGTTCACGCAGCTATAATGCTTTTGAGAACACAGAGCGCCAGTTGTGGGAAAAGAAGCTCTGTTCATTATCCTCAGGTTGTCTTCATTTCGTAATTCTTTTCACTACCTCTTTATGAGTATTATCACAAAACAAAAACAAGAAACACCTGCTGTATTGTACACATGATTTTCAATCAATTCATCAGCAGCTTCAGAGTAAAAGAAAGAAATCAAGCAAATTATTAGTCCACTTGGGAACTATGAGAACACATTTAAAGGATGTGAATATTTTCATTTCAAAGTAATTTTGTTTCTTTGCCTTTTGGAATCATCGGCACCAAATGCTTTTTGGCTTGCTGCTTACACTTTTCATCATCGCCTTTTAGATATTTATTGGAAAAAGGCTCTGAATTTTGGGGGCTGCGAAATATGAAGATGCACACAAACACACCCCACATACAAAGATATAATGTTCATTATAATGTGACCATTAATTCTGCCATTCTTTCAAATTCTGAATTCACTTCTTTAATCCTTTCAGCTTAAAATTTGATATTTTGATTCTTGGGTAGAAAAATTCACTTAAATATAACAAAGATTTATTGAACCCCTGTTATATAACATATTGGATAAATGCTCTAGCTCTGAAGTTTACAGACCTGGTTTTGAATTTTAGCTCTACAAATAATTATGTCAGCTTTGGGCACATTGCTTAACTTCCATTCAATTCCATTTCCTCACCTGTAAAACAGTTACAGTGTCCTGAGATAAAACATTAGTAACCCAGAAACAAGCATAAAATCAAGAAAAATGAAATTATTATTAGAAAGGTAGTCATGTAACATTACTGAGCAATTGTCACATCCTCGACTTTGTATAGTAATGCAAACATTTGGTGAAAACTTTTGTGTTGCTTTCAACTTACATGAATTGAATGCCAATCAGAATATTTCTAGGATTACATCAAAATTAGTACATAAATTGTGATAAGCTGAGAAAATAACTTATTTTTTCACCAAAACAAGTTACCCACATTGTATTTTTGCATTGCTTAATGTATATATAAATGCAAGCCATATACCAATTACTAATAAATGCAATAGAATAGGACAAATTCAAAGCTCTTCTCTCTCTCCAGTTCCAACAGGAAAAAGAAATCCATTTTTATTTTATAACATTGGCTGAGTAAAAAAAAAAAAAGTGAATGAAGTAAAAAGATAGACCTTAATGTTTTAATATAACATAATTATGGAGTTCTATTTTTTAAAAAAATTCATAATGCATGGAGTTCATTTTATAAATACATATTAATATCTATAGCATAGTAAAATTAAAATAGAACAAGTATTTATCTTGAGAATTATGCTGTCATATTCAAAGTCCATATTGAATTAGAAAATGTTAAGCTCAATCTTTCTAGCCATGGAGATTGATAGGTCATCAGATCATCTAGTGTAATCATCTATATGATCAGCACCTCTGTTGCCTCGTTCAGCACAACAGATCAACTAGAAGTTACTAGTTTAGGTAACAGGTAAAGGGATCTCACTGGAGGAGGACAATCACAACCAAACAAATAAATGAAGACTGTGATGAACCAACCAACACTGACAGCAATCAGTGAAAGTCTGGGATAATTCCCCAAATTCTGAATCCTGGTGTTTTTCTTAGTAAATTGATGTAGTAATTATTGTGGTGACTATGTGGTCTGCGTTTTTACTTTTAGTCCAAATTTGCTTCTTTCAGGGAAGTTATGGGCTTGCTACTCTGGACTATGAATACTGAGGCCCTCATGCAGATACAAAGGAATGTCCTGTTATAGTCTGTGATATGGTTTGTGGACAGCCTTGCTTGTGGGTGCAGGGAATTAAGAGCACACAAGTACTAATGGAATAAGAAGGTAAGCATGATATACTCTGGAGTTCAATATTCTAACCTTCTTCTTGAAAACAAAATTAGATATAAAAGTGGCAGCAACTCTGGTAAAGTCATGGGAAAAGAGTACTGCCAGTGACCCTGTTATTCCAGCAGGATCTCATAGAGCATGCCATTAACCTCAGTCCACAAGAGAGTATATTATACAAGGAAGCAATTAAAAATGGCTGGTGTCTAATCTCTTGTGACTTTTGGGTGCTGGATTTTCCATAAAACAAAGGCACATCAATTTCACTGAGGAAAACTCCACCCTTCAGGGACTTAGTTTGGACTTGCTCCCATTGATGTGTGGAAGTGAAAAAGTCAGCTCTTTGTTCTTGGTGTTTATTGGTTTATCACAGTCATCATTCTCTTATTCAGCAAACGTTTATGCAGAAATGTCTATACATAAGGCTTTGATTTAGGTGTTCAACTACAAGTGAAATAGACATTTTCTTCTTTGTTAGAGCTTATTGTCTAGAGGAATATGGAGATAACATACAGGTAAATGATCAAACAAAAATATGAAATAACCTGAGAATGATGCTATGATACAATCAAATTAGAAGCTAAGCAAATAATTAGAAGGAAAGAACACATGTGAACAGCTTAGACAGGTCGGAGCTCTCGGAGGAGTTGGAATTTGAAGACCTTGAAGGAGCTAGCCATGCAATGTGCAGGGAGAAGGAAGAGAGGCAGGCTCAGGGGCTCTCATGGTGTCCTATCAACTTTATGGTGATGTTCACTAAATCTATATAAATTTTCTTGACATCACCAAAGTCTTCAGGTTAACAATATGAACTGTGTTATCCAATTAATTATTTTACCATCATCACAAATAAATATACAAAACTAAATCATTATGTCATCATCCCATGCTCGAGAGTGCTCCACCTCAAAACTCAAATTTTCTATGACTAGCTGTGTTTTATTTATTATTCCAGATAGTATATTTCATAAACATACATTGAAAGACACTATTTAGCTTATAAAACAGAACATTAGCAATATTGTTGATGCCCTTTGAGTGCTTCTCCCCAATTTAATTGTCCTTTCTACCCACCGAAGCTATCCATTACTTTGTGCTCTGTACTTGTCATTTTTTTCATTGTTGTTTGTCTCCCTAGTTTGTATCCTTAAATGAGATATTGTTTAGTTTGGTTTGTATTCAAAGCTTGGTAAATACAAATGTATAGATTCTCCACTGACTTGCTTTATTTTATTGAATTTTATTCAATATTATGCTTCTGAGGGTCTGTTAACTTCTGTAGCTATATTTCATTCAATTTCACTGTTGTGCACAGTTCCATTTTAAGAATTTGCCCAAATGGGTATATCTATTTTTCCATTAACAGACAGTAGGTGGTTTCCAATTTTTTCTTACAATCAACAATATTACTATGTTCATATTCTTCTTGTGAATATGAAAATGGTTTCCAGAGGGTATATATTTAGTAGCTAAATTTCTAGGTCTGTGTTAGATCATGTGCAAATTACTAGGTAATATCATCAGGCTTTTCAAAAAGAATGTACCAATCTACATTCCCACAGGCAGATTTCAAATCGTCTACTATTCCACATACCTATCATTTTCATATTTTTAAGTTTCTTTCAATATATTAGATATAAACAGGTATCTCATTTTTATTTTAAGTTTGCATTTCTCTGATGACTCTTGATATTGTGAGCATTTTCATTTGTTTATGAGTCATTGCTATGTCTTCTATGAAATGTCTGAGCATGTCTTCCGCTATTTCATCTTCTAGACTTATTGTCACTTCCTTATTGAGTTTTAAAAGTTTATATATTCTTCATATGATTTAATTTTTGAACAGAAATTTTACTTTGAATGTAACTAGATTTATAAATACTTCCTTTAAAAGTTTTTGCTACTTTGTTTGGTTTAGGAAATCTCCATAACTCAGTTAATTTTCTGCTGAAACTTTGAAATTTTGCCTTTCACATTTGTCTTTGACTTAGGCAAATTACTCCTTTTTGTGTATTGTGTGGGAGAATCCTATTAAATATATCTTGTCAGAACGACCTGTGGATCAGCTGTGGCTGTGGCAACCACTGCTTGTGGAAAGTGGAGGAAAGAGTATGAAGGGTTTTGTATTGTGGTTTGAGTATCAGCTTAGTCACAGTAGACTAGAACATCAGGTAAATTGCTAAGGTTTTTGACTCGAATCCCTAGCTCTCAGACAGCATCTCTGGACACATACAGGGCCTGGGGAATCTCACTCCCCTTGAAGGGAAGGAACTTAGGCAAAGTCCAGTGCTGTGCAGGTTTCAGGTTTGACCCAGCAGAGTCCCAGTGGTGATGGCCACAGGGGTGCTTGCATCACCACACACTTAGTTCCAGGTGGCCCAGCACAGAGAGAGAAACTCCATTTGTTTGGGAGAAAGCAACAGAAAGAACAAAAGTCTCTGCTTGGTAGTCATGAGAATTATTCTGGATCTTACACAAGATCACCAAGGTGGTACTTCTACAAGTCTGCAAAACATATACTTATTGGGTTTGCAGCTTAAGTCTCTTTGAATACCCACAAAGCCTTCCCAGGAAGGACAGGCACAAACAAGCTCAGACTGTGAAGACTACAACAAATACCTAACTCATCAATGCCCAGACACAGACAAACATCTACAAGCATCAACACCATTCACAAAAACATGGCCTTGCCAAATGAAGTAAATAATGCAGCATGGTCCAATCCTAGAGAAACAGAGATATATGATGTATCAGACAGAGAATTCAAAATAGCTGTTTTGAGAAAATTCAAAGAAATTTAAGATAACACAGAAGAAATTCACAATTCTGTCAGAAAAATTTAACAAAAAGATTGAAATAATTTAAAAGAATCACACATTCTAGAACTGAAAATTGCAATTGACATGCTGAAGAATGCATCAGAATCTCTTAATAGAGAATTGATCAAGAAAAAAAATTAGCGTGTTTTAAGACAGACTATTTGAAAATACCATTCAGATGAGACAAAATAAAATAATAAAAACAATGAAGCACACCTACAAGATCTAGAAAATAGCCTCAAAGGGGTTAATCTAACAGCTCTTGGACATAAAGAGGAGGTAACAAAAATATAGAGGTAGAAAGCTTATTCAAAGGAATAATATCAGAGAACTTCCTAAACCTAGAGAAAGATATCCACATTCAAGTGCCAGAAGGTTATAGAATACCAAACAGATTTAACCCAAAGAAGACTACCTCAAGGCATTTAATAATTAAACTCCCAATGGTCAAAGATAAAGAAAGGACCCTAAACACAGCAAGAAAAAAGAAACAAATAACATACAGTGGAGTTCCAATATGTCTGGCAGCAGACTTTTCAGGGAAACTTTACAGGCCAGCAGGCTAGGAGACAGTGGTGTGACATATTTAATGTGCTGAAGGAAAAAAACTTTTACCCTAGAATCATATATCTGATAAAATATCTCTTAAGTATGAAGAAATAAAGACTTTCCTAGAGAAGCAAAAGCTGAGGGATTTAATCAATCCGAGACCTTTTCTACAAGAAATGCTAAAGCGAGTTCTTCGATCTGAAAGAAAAAGATAATAGTGAGCTATAAGAAATCATGGGAACGTATACAACTGACTGGTAATAGTAAGCACACAAAAAAACACAGACTAATATAACACTCTTCTTGTGGTGTGTAAACTATTCTTAAGTAGAAAAACTAAACTATGAACCAATCTAAAATGATAACTACAACAACTTTTTAAAATACAGACAGTACAATAAGACATACAGAGAAACAACAAAAAGTTAAAAAGTAGGAAGATAAAGATAAAGTGTGGAGTTTTTATTAGTTTTATTTCTGCATATCAGTTTGTTTATGCAATTAGTGGTAAGTTGTCATCAGTTTAAAATAATGGGTTGTATTTGCAACCCTCATGGAAAACTCAAATCAAAAAACATACAACAGATATACAAAAAATAAAAAACAAGAAACTAAATTATATCACCAGAGAAAATCACCTTCACCAAAAGGAAGACAGGAAGAAAGGAAAGAAGGAAGAGAAGGTTGCAAAATAACCAGAAAACAAATAATGAATGAAAGGAGTAAATCTGTATTTATCACTAATAACATTAAAAGTAAATGGAATAAACTCTCCGATAAAAATACATAGAATGGCTGAGTGGATAAAAATAAACAAGACCCATTGATCTATTGCCCGCACGAAATGCAGTCCACCTATAAACATGCACATAGACTAAAAATAAAGGGATAGAAAAAGATATTCCATGCCAATGGAAACCAAAAGACAGCAGAAGTAGCTATTCTTATATCAGACAAAATAGACTTCAAGACAAAAACTGTAAGAGACAAAGAAGTTCCTTATATAATGATAAAGTGGTCAATTCAGCAAGAGATATAATGATTGTTTATATATGCACCCAATACTGGAACATCCAAATATATAAAGCAAATATTGTTAGAGCTAAAAAGAGATAGACACCAATACAATAATAGCTGTAGACTGCAACACCTCACCTTAAGCATTGGACAGACCTCCCAGACAGAAAATTAACAAACATCAGATTTAATCTGCACTACTGAACAAATGGACCTAATAGATATTTACAGAACATTTCATTCAATGGTAGAGAATACACATTTTTCTCCTCAGCACATGGAGCATTCTCAAGGACAGACCATATGTTATGTCAAAAAACAAGTCTTAAAACATTCAAAAAATGAAACAATATCAAGCATCTTCTCTGGCCACAATAGACTATAACTAGAAATCAATAACAAGAGGAATTTTGGAAACTATACACATGGGAACTTAAAAATATGCTCCTGAATGACCAGTTGATCACAGAAGAAATTAAGAAGGAAATTGAAACTTTTCTTAAAACAATGATAATGGAAACACAGCCTACCAAAACCTCTGGGATACAGCAAAAGCAGTACTAATAGGGGAGTTTAGAGCTGTAAGGGCCTACATCAGAAAAAAAGAAAAACTTTAAATAAATAACCTAATGATGCATCTTAAAGAACTGGAAAAGCAAGAGCAAACCAAATCCAAAATTAATAGAAGAAATAAAAAACATGAGAGTAGAAATAAATAAGTTTGAAATAAATAAAACAATCCAAAAGATCAATGAAACAAAAAGTTTGTTTTTCAAAAAGATAAACAAAACTGAAAAACCATTAGCCAGACTAACAAAGAAAAAAAAAAGAGAGAAGACCCAAATAAATAAAATCAGAGGTGAAAAGGAGACATTACAGTTGATACTGCAGAAATTCAAAGGATAATTAGTGGCTACTATGAGCAACTATATGCCAATGAATTGGAAATATCAAAAAGGAATGGATAAATTTCCAGATGCATACAACATACCAAGACTGAACCAGGAAAAAATCCAAAACCTGAACATACCGATAACAAATAGTGAGATAGACACTCATAAAACATCTACCGGTAAAAAAAAAGCATGGGAACTGATGGTTTCACTGCTGAATTCTACCAAACCTTAAAAGAAGAATTAATACCAATCCCACTCAAATTGTTCCAATACAGCAGGAAGAATTACTTTCAAACTCATTCTATGAGGCCAGTGTTACCCTGATACCAAAACCAGACAAAAACACATCAAAAAAAGAAAACTACAGGTCAATATCCCTGATGAATATTGATGTAAAAATCCTCAACAAAATACTAGCATATCAGATTCAACAACACATTAGAAGGATCATTAGTCATGACCAAGTGGGATTTATCCCTGGGATGCAAGAATGGTTCAAAATATGCAAATCAATATCATACATCATATCAACAGAATGAAGGACAAAAACCATATGATTATTTTAATCGATTCTGAAAAAGCATTCGATAATGTTCAATATCTCTCCATGGTCAAAACCTAAGAAAACTGAAGATAGAAGGAACATACCTCAAAATAATAAAAGCCACATATAACAAACCCACAGCTAGTATCATACTGAATGGGGAAGAACTGAAAGCATTTCCTCTAAGATCTGGAACACAATGAGGATGCCAACTTTTACCACTGTTATTCAACATAGTACTGGAAGTTCTAAGAGAGCAATCAGATAAGAGAAAGATATAAAGGGCATCCAAAATTGGAAAACAGAAATCAAATTATCCTGTTTGCAGATAATATTATCTTACATTTGCAAAATCCTAAAGACTACCAAAAAACTATGAGAACTTATAAACAAATTCAGTAAAGTTGCAGGATACAAAGTTCACAAGAATTAGTAGCATTTCTATATGCCAACAGTGAATAGGAAAAAGAAATCACAAAAGTAATCCTATTTACAATAGACACAAAATTAAATGCCTAGGAATTAACCAAAAAAGTGAAAGATCTCTACAATGAAAACTATAAAACATTAATAAAATAAATTGAAGAGGACCCCAAAAAATGGAAAGGTATTCAATGTTCACGAATTGGAAGAAGCAAAAATTGTTAAAATGCTCATACTAGCCAAAGCAACCCACAAGTTCAATGCAATCCGTATCAAAATACCAATGACATTCTTCACAGAAATAGAAAAAAAATTCTAAAATTTATATAGAATTACAACAAGACTTGGAATAGTAAAAACTATTCTGAACAAAAAGAGCAAAACTGGAGGAACCACACTACCAGACTTCAAATTATACTACAGAGCTATAATAATTAAAACAGCATGGTACTGGCATATAAATAGACACACTGACCAATGAAACAGAATATAAAACCGAAAAGCAAATTCACACACCCACTGTGAACTCATTTGCAACAAGAGTGCCAATAACATACCCTGGGGAAAAGACATTCTCTTCAATAAATGGTGCTGGGAAAACTGGATATCGATATGCAGAAGAAAGAAATTAGATCCCTATCTCTCCCTTGTACAAAAATTAAATCCAAATGGGTTAAAGACTTAAGCCTAGGACCTCAAACTATGAAACTGCTACAAGAAAACATTGAGGAATCTCTCCACAACATTGATCTGGGCAAAATTTTCTTGAGTAATATCCCACAAGCAAAGGCAACCAAAGCAAAAATGGACAAAGAAGATCACATCCAGTTAACAAGCTTCTGCAGAGCAAAGGAAATAATCAACAAAGTGAAGAGACAACCCACCAAATGGGAGAAAATATTTGAAAACTATCTGTCTGACAAGGAACTAATAACCAGAATATTTAAGAAGCTCAAACAACTCTATAGGAAAAAAAGCTATTAATTCAATTTAAAAATGGGCAAGATTTGAATGGATATTCTCAAAAGAAAACACACAAATGGCAAACAGGCATATGAAAAAGTGCTCAACATCACTGATCATCACAGAAATGCAAATCAAAACTACAATGAGACATCATCTCACTCCAGTTAAAATGGTTTGTATCCAAAAGACAGGCAACAACAAATTCTGGCAAGAATGTGGAGAAAAGGGAATCCTCATAAACCTCTGATGAGAATGCAAATTAATATATCCGCTATGCAGAAGACTTTGGAGGTTCCTCAAAAAACTAAAAATAGAACTACCATATGATCCAGCAATCCCACCGCTGGGTATATACCCAAAAGAAGGGAAAGAAATATATTGAAGAGATATCTGCACTCCCATGTTTGTTGCAGCACCTTTCCAATAGCCAAGATTTGGAAGCAACCTAGTTGTCAATCAACAGATAAATGGATGAAGAAAATATAGTACTTATACACAGAATACTATTGAGCCATAAAAGAGAATGAGATTTAGTCATTTGCAACAACATAGATAGAACTGGAGGTTATTCTGTTAAGTGACATAAGCCAGGCATAGAAAGACAAACATCACATGTTCTCACTTATTTGTGGAATCTGAAAATCCAAACAATTGAACTCATGGTGATAGAGAATAGAAGGATGGTTAACAGAGGCTGAGAATTGTGGTGGTGGTAGGGGTGGATTGGGGATCATTAATAGGTGTAAAAAAATTAGGAAGAATAAATAAGAACTAGTATTTGCTAGCACAGCAAGGGACCATGATTAATAATAATTGTACATTTTAAAACTAACTAAAAGAGTATGATTGGATTATTTGTAACACAAAGACAGGATAAATGCTTGAGGGGATGAATACTCAATGTTCCATGATGTGACTATTACACATTGCATGCCTGTACAAAAATACCTCATGTATTCCATTAATATATCCATCTATGTATCCACAAATATTTTTGAATCACATTTTCACATAAATACATAAATTTTTATCTATAAATTAAACAGAAATTTATAAAACATATTAAAAAAATGGCAGTGTTCCAAAAAAAATTCTGTCAGCTAGATAATTATTATTGAGCAGTATGCCCCTTCACACTGGTCAGCAATACCATCCCATTTACATGCCACAGTCCAACATTCGTCTGGGTCTGACCTTGGGCTTTTTTTTTTCTGTCTTATTGTCCACTTTTTCTACTACGTAATCAAAAGAACACTGCCTCAGTTGCTGCATTTTATATTAACTTTTACACCAAATACAGTCTCATCTATGTTTTTGTGTACATTTTTAAATGAGCTTTTCAAGTTAGAAAAAAACAGTGTTTGCATTCTGATTGGGATATTTCAGACTCTGAGATTTTCAGGAAATTTGACATTATTACAGTTAATGAACTTTGTGTCTCTCTCCAGTCAATTTAGGTCATGTTTAATATCTTCAACAAGGTTTTATCATTTTCTCCATAAGAACTTTGCCTATCTTCATTATGCATATTTAGAGATACTTATGATCATTGATATTGTCATGCAAAGTAGCTTTTTTATTTAATAATGTCCCCATGCTTTTAACAGCATTCAGATATACCATTTGGTGTTTCAGTATTTTATTTTGCTGTTCATGTTTTTATTCTGCTTTAATATAAAATACACTTCAAAGTATACCATTTTAATATGTGACAGAAAACATTTATTTTAAACATGTTCTCAAAATCACTCAAAATCCTAAAACAGGAGCAACATGGAGACTCTAGGCTTTTTCTCTGAGTTAATTATGCATTTGCAGGAGATCTTCTCTCATAGACCTCTACATTTTTCCCTCCGAATTTGTTTTTTTGGCTTAAGCAATAGAAATCTATTTCTCACACTTCTGGAGGCTGGGAAGTCCAAGATCAAAGCGCTGGCCAATTTGCCTGAAGGCCTTCTTCCTGACTTGCAGAGAGTCAGTCTCCTTCTCCCCATGTTCTCATGTGGCAGAGAGATCTGTCTCTCTTCCTCTTTTTTTTTTTTTTTTGTGTGTTTTTAGTAGAGATGGGGTTTCACCGTGTTGGCAAGACTGGTCTAAAACTACTGACCTCCAGTGATCCTCCTGCCTTGGCCTCCCAAAGTGATTGGATATCTTTCTCTTTTTTTAAAAAAAAAATTTTATTTCCATAGGTTTTTGGGGAACAGGTGGTATTTCATTACGTAAGTTCTTTAGTGGTGATTTGTGAGATCGTGGTACACTCATCACCTGAATAGTATACATTGAACCCATTTCATAGTCTTTTATCCCTTAGCCGCTCCCCATGCTTTCCCCTGAGTCCCCAAAGTCCACTGTGTCATTCTTATGCCTTTGCATCCTTATAGCTTAGCTCCTGCTTACCACTGAGAACATACGATGTTTGGTTTTCCATTCCTGAGTTACTTCACTTAGGTTAATAGTCTCCAATCCCATCCAGCGTGCTGCAAATTAATTAATTTCTTTTTATGGCTGAGTAGTATTCGATCATATATCACAGCTTCTTTATCCACTCATTGATTGATGGGCATTTGGGTTGGTTCCATGTTTTTGCTATCGCGAATCGTGCTGCTATAACCATGTGTGTGCAAATATCTTTTTTCTATAATGACTTCTTTTCCTCTGGGTACATACCCAATAGAGGGATTGCTGGATCAAATGGTAGGTCTACTTTCAGTTCTTTAAGGAATCTACACACTATTTCCCATAGTGGTTGTACTAGTTTACATTCCCACCAGCAGTGTAGAAGTCTTCTCTTTTCACCACATCCATGCCAAAATCTATTATTTTTTTATTATGGCCATTCTTGCAGGAGTAAGGTGGTATCACATTGTGGTTTTGATTTGCATTTCCCTGATCTTTAGTGATGCTAAGCATTTTTTCATATGTTTGTTGGCCATTTGTATATCCTCTTTTGCTTATTGTCTATTCATGTCCTTAGCCCACTTTTTGATGGGATATTTTTTTCTTGCTAATTTGTTTGAGTACGTTGTAGATTCTGGATATCAGTCGTTTGTCAGATGTATAGATTGTGAAGATTTTATCCCACTCTGTGGGTTGTCTGTTTACTCTGCTGTTTCTTTTGCTGTGTAGAAACTCTTTAGTTTAATTAAGTTCCAGCTATTTATATTTGTTTTTATTGCACTTGCTTTTGGGTTCTTCATCATGAAATCCTTGCCTAAGCCAATGACTAGAAGGATTTTTCTGATGTTATCTTCTAGAATTTTTATAGCTTCATGTCTTAGATTTAAGTCTTTGATCCATCTTGAGTTGATTTTTATATAAGGTGAGAGATGAGGATCCAGTTTCATTCTCCTACTTGTTTGCCAATTATCTCAGCACCATTTGTTGAATAGGGTGCCCTTTCCCCACTTTATGTTTTTGTTTGCTTTGTTGAAGATCAGTTGGCTATAAGTATTTGACTTTATTTCTGGGTTATCTATTCTGTTTCATTGGTCTATGTGGCTATTTTTATACTAGTACCATGTTGTTTTGGTGACTATGGCCTTATAGCATAGTTTGAAATCAGGTAATGTGATGCTTCCAGATTTGTTCTTTGTGCTTAGTCTTGTTTTGGCTGTGTGGGCTCTTTTTTGGTTCTATATGAGTTTTAGGATTTTTTTTTCTAGTTCTGTGAAGAATGATGGTGGTATCTTGATGAGAATTGCATGGAATTTGTAGACTGCTTTTGGCAGTATGCTTATTTTCACAGTATTGATTCTACCCATCTATGAGCATCAGATGTGTTTCCATTTGTTTGTGTCATCTATGATTTCTTTCAGCAATGTTCTGTAGTTTTCTTTGTAGAGGTCTTTCACCTCCTTGGTTAGATATATTTCTAAGTATTTTATTTTATTTTATTTTTTGCTGCTATTAGAAAAGGAGTTGAGTTCTTGATTTGATTCTCAGCTTGGTTGCTGTTAGTGTAAAGCAGAGCTACTGATTTGCATATATTAATTTTGTATCCTGAAACTTTGCTGGATTCATTTATCAGTTCTAGGAGCTTTTTGGAGGAGTCTTTAGGGTTTACCAGGTATAGAATTATATTATCCGCAAACAGCGACAGTTTGTCTCCCTCTTTACCAATCCGATTGGTCTGCCTATGACTTCCAGTACTTCACTGAATAGAACTGGTGACAGTGGGCATGTCTTGTTCCAGTTCTCAAAGGGAATGCTTTCAACTTTTCCCCATTCAGTATTATGTTGGCTGTGGGTTCGCCATAGATGGCTTTTATTGCCTTGAGGTATGTCTCTTGTATTCCAATTTTACTGAGAGTTTTCATCATAAATGGATGCTGGATTTTGTTGAATGTTTTTTCTGTGTCTATTGAGATGATCATGTGATTTTTGTTTTTAATTGTGTTTATGTGGTGTATCACATTTATTGACTTGGATATGTTAAACTACCCCTGCATCCCTGGTATGAAACCCACTTGATCATAGTGGATTATTTTTTTTTGATACGTTGTTAGATTTGGTTAGCTAGCATTTTGTTAAGGAATTTTTCACCTATGTTCATCAGGGATATTGGTCTGTAGTTTTCATTTTTGGTTATGTCCTTTCCTGGTTTTGGTATTAGGGTGATACTGGCTTCATAGAATGACTTAGGGAGGATCCCCTCTTTCTCTATCTTGTGTAATAGTGTCAATAAGATTGGTACCAATTCTTCTTCGAATGTCTGGTAGAATTCAGCTGTGAATCTGTCTGATCTTGGACTTTTTTTGTTTTTGTTGTTGGTAATCTTTTAACTACCATTTCAATCTCACCACTTGTTATTGGTCTGTTTAGGGTATCTAATTCTTTCTGATTTAAGATAGGAAGGTTTTATCTTTCCAGGAATTTATCCATCTCCTCTAGGTTTTCTAGTTTATGTGCGTAAAGGTGTTCATAGTAGCCTTGAATGATCTTTTATATTTCTATGGTGTCACATAATATTTTCTGTTTCATTTGTAATTGAGCTGATTTGGATTTTCTCTCTTCTGTGCTTGGTTAATCTTGCCAATGGTCAATCCTTATTTATCTTTTCAAAGAACCAGCTTTCTGTTTCATTTATCTTTCGCATTTTTTTGTTTCAATTTCATTAGTCCTGACCTGATCTTGGTTATTTCCTTTCTTTTGCTGGGTTTGGGTTTGGTTTGTTCTTGTTTCTCTACTTCCTTGAGGTGTGACCTTAGATTATCTATTTGTGCTTTTTTATACTTTCTGATGTCGGCATTTAGGGCTATAAAATTTCCTCTTAGCACTGCCTTTGCTGTGTCCCAGATATTTTGATAGGTTGTGTCACTATTGTCTTTCAGTTCAAAGAATTTTTTAATTGACATCTTGATTTCATTGTTGACCCAATGATCATTCAGGAGCAGGTTATTTAATCTACATATATTTGCATGGTTTTGAAGGTTCCTTTTGGCATTGATTTCCAGTTTTATTCCACTGTGGTCTGAAAGAGTACTTGATATAATTTCAGTTTTCTTAAATGTATTGAGACTTGTTTTGTGGCCTATCATATAGGCTGTCTTGGAGAAAATTCCATGCACTGATGAGTAGAATGTATATTCTGCAGTTGTTGGGTAGAATGCTCTGTAAATATCTAGTAAGTCCATTTGTTCCAGGGCATAGTTTAAATCGATTGTTTCTTTGTTGACTTTCTGTCTTGATGATCGGTCTAGTGCTATCAGTGGAGGATTGGAGTCCCCCACTATTATTATGTTGCTGTTCATCTCATTTCTTAGGTCTAGTAGTAATTGTTTTATAAATTTTGGAGCTCCAGACTTAGGTGCATATATAGTTAGGATTGTGATATTTTCCTGTTGGACAAGGACATTTATCATTATATAATGTCCCTCTCAGTCTTTTTTAACTGCTGTTGCTTTATAGTTTATCTGTTATCATAGAATATCTTTTTCCACCCATTTACCTTAAGTTTATGTGAGTCCTTATGTGTTAGTTGAGTCTCTTGAAGCAGTGGATAGTTGGTTGATGAATTCTTATCCATTCTGCAATTCTGTGCCTTTTAAGTGGAGCATTAAGGCCATCTACATTCAATATTGAGCACTGAGATGTTAGGTACTATTCCATTCATTGTGCTATTTGTTGCCTGTATACCTTGTTTGTTTTTTATTTATTTTTGTTTTATAGGTCCTGTGAGATTTATGCTTTAAAGAGGTTCTGTTTTGATGTGTTTTCAGGATTTGTTTCAAGATTTGGATCTCCTTTTAGCAGTTCTTGTAATGCTTGTAATGCAGTTCTTGTAATGGTCGCGGTGAATTCTCTCAGTATTTCTCCGAAAAAGACTATCTTTCCTTCATTTATGAAGCTTAGTTTTGCTGGATACAAAATTCTTGGCTGATAATTGCTTTGTTTAAGGAGGCTGAAGATAGGGATCCAATCCCTTCTAGATTGTCAGGTTTCTGCTGAAAAATCTGCTGTTGATCTGATAGGTTTGTCTTTTTTTTTTTTTTTTTTTTTTAGGTTTTATCAAGTTACCTGGTGCTTTTGCCTCACAATTCTTAAGATTCTTTCCTTTGTCTTAACTTTAGATAACTTGGTGAAATGTGCCTAGGTGATTATCTTTTTGCAATGAATTTCCCAGGTGTTCTTTGAGCTTCTTGAATTTGGAAGTCCAGGTCTCTAGCAAGGCCAAGGAAGTTTTCCTCGAATGTTCCCTCAAACACGTTTTCCAAACTTTTAGATCTCTCTTCTTCCTCAGGAACACCAATTATTCTTAGGTTTGGTCATTTAACATAATCCCAAACTTCCCTGATACTTTGCTCATTTTTTCTTATTTTTTTTATTTGTCTTTGTCAGATTGGGTTAATTTAAAAACCTTGTCTTCGAGCTCTAAAGTTCTTTCTTCTGCATGTTCAATTCTATTGCTGAGACTTTCCAGAACACTTTGCATTTCTCTAAGTGCATCCATCATTTCCTGAAATTTTGATTGTTTTTATTTATGCTACCTATTTCACTGAAGATTTCTCCCCTCATTTCTTGTATCATTTTTTTGATTTCCTTAACTTGGACATCAT
Source organism: Homo sapiens (assembly GCF_000001405.40). Lineage (NCBI taxonomy): Eukaryota > Metazoa > Chordata > Mammalia > Primates > Hominidae > Homo > Homo sapiens. Next base: position 239,084,120 of record NC_000001.11, read on the forward strand.
CTTTCTTTGTGCCTTCTTGATTAGCTTAATAACTGACCTTCTGAATTATTTTTCAGGTAAATCAAAGATTTCTTTTTAGTTTGGATCCATTGCTGGTGAGCTAGTGTGATTTTTTGGGTGTGTCAAAGAACTGTATTTTGTCATATTACCAGAATTCTTTTTCTGGTTCCTTCTCATTTGGGTAGGCTATGCCAGAGGGAAGGTCTACGGCTTAAGGCTGCTATTTGGATTCTCTTGTCCCATAGGGTGTTCCCTTGATGTAGTACTCGCACCCTTTTCCTAAGGATGTGGCTTCTTGAGAGTGGAGCTGTAGAGATTGTTATCTCTTTTCTGGATCTAGCCACCCAATAGGTCTACCAGGCTCTAGGCTGGTACTGGGGGTTGTCTGTACAGTCCTGTGATGTGAACCATCTCCAGGTCTCTCAGCCCAGGATACCAGCACCTGCTCTGGCGTAGGTTGCAAGGGGGTGAATTGTACTCTGTGAGGGTCCTTAGTTTTGGTTGTTTAATGCACTATTTTTGTGCTGGTTGGCCTCCTGCCAGGAGGTGGCGCTTTCAAGAGCCATCTGTTGTGGTAGTGTAGGGATGATCAGGCAGTGTGTTGGGGCCCTAGAACTCCAAAGAGTATATGCCCTTTGTCTTCAGCCACCAGGGTGGGTAGGGAAGGACCCTCAGATGGAGGCAGGGCTAGGCATGTCTGAACTCAGACTCTCCTTGGGTGGGTCTTTTTTGCTGCAGCTGCTGTGGGGATGAGGATGTGGTTCCCAGCTCAATGGACTTATGATCCCAGGAGGATTGTGGCTGCCTTTGCCATGTCATGCAGGTTGTCAGGGAAGTGGGGGAAAGCCAGAAGTCACAGGCTTCATCCAGCTTCCACACAACCCCAGAGGCCAGCCTCACTCCCACCATGCCCCCACCAAGAGGGCTGAGTCTGTTTCCAGGCAGTGGGTGAGCAGGGCTGAGGATTTCACCAGCCTCCCAGCTGTGAAAGGAAGCAGGCCTTTTGTGCCTCCCTGCGTGTGGAGTCAGCACACCAGATTCACCCCCTCCCCGAGTTCTGGCCAGGAGACTTAGCATTCAGTTGGAATTGTTACAAAGTTCAGTTCGGTTGGAGGTGTCCTTCTCCCTGTGGTCTTTTCCCCATACCTCTGGCAGCCATCCCCAAGGACCCCTATAAGGCAAGGCAGAAATGACTTCCCAGAGGACCCAGAGAGCCCACAGGGCTTTTCCTGCTGCTTCCTCTACCTCTTGATTTCTTAAGTATTTTTTTGTTATTCCTATTTTAAGCAGTATTTTTCTTTTAATAGCTTGAGTAGAAATGAATTTGATTGCTTTGTATCAACCTTACAGTCAGTAAATTTGCTATTTGAATAATTTTAGTAATTTGTAAGTCTTATGGCATTTGTCTTTGAAATGTCCTCACATCTGTCCCATCCTTCTGCCTAACTAGCTTGCACACTACCTGGTACTCCCTTTCACTAGGCCCTCATTCACATCAGCCCTGCATTTCCAGAAGAGCTTCTCAAATCTATTCATTGTCTAGTAATTTACCAAACTCTAATTTAGTCTTAAAGAGCATTTCTTAGTGAATGGAAATGGGCCTGGTTCCTAGATAAAAATAAAAGTGTTCAAAATCTAAGATCCGTATCTTATTCGATTTTCCTGCCTTTCATTTAAATTCCTCTAAAAAAATTTCATACTATATATTTATAATCTCAATTTCCAACCTGCTATCTTCCATTGCTGTCCAACAACCATCCTTTGCTATCTTCCTCCCTTTACTCCAACCTGCTACATATCTCTCTAAATATTTCTGTTGTAAGCATTAGTCTCTGCTTTCTAAAGTTTTTCTTATTACCCATATCAAAAACTCCTCTCACCCTCAAAACAGTAGTTAAGCCCCTCTTCTATTTGAAGATCTTCTGTGTTCCAATCCACTTTGATAGCTCACTGCCCTTAGTAATTACTCTTTGCATTTTTATATTGTTAGATTGGTTTTTTTTATGTTTTTACTTTTCATCTGTCAATGATAATTTACTGAATGTCTCACATGTGTCAGGCACTGTGTCCCGCAGCAAAGCCTCTTTCATAGGTTGCAAATATGTCACTAAGTATCTCAAAAATAGCCTAAAGTTAACCTCAGCAATTATAGCTGTTCAATCAATATCTCTTTATTAATTTCCCTTTTTACACAATTTCTTTCAGAGCAATTCTGCACATGATAAACATTTAATGTACATATTTGTTTAATACAAATTAATGAATACATTTTATTAAGAAAATAAGACATTCTCCTGAAGGCAAAGCGAGTTGTATTTTTTCCAATGTAACTTGGGAAGTTCTGGTGGCTATGACAGGATTTCTTTGGGGAAAAAAAAGTATATGATGTGCTGCAAATTCCAGAATCCTGATATATATTTTCCCTGGTTTGCCTAATTTCTATTAAAATAAACTGTCTTATTCCAAATCAACTTAACATAATTTAGGATAAATCACTGTAACTTTGTTTGATGTTAGCATTAAGTGGCCTATGTTATCACTTCATTATAAGGTATCTTGTGGATTTCTCTCTCCAAGTTTTATCAAGAAGGAGGATATAAGCCTGCGATTGTCAAACACCTTGTCTGTAAAAGAATTTTTTAATTTTGCATTTTACAGAGAACCATTTAGAAAGTACAAGTTCTACAACCCAACTATTTACTCAAGAAACAATTAATTAGCTTTCAATGACCTTCATTAATGATCGTAGTATTTCTAATTTCACCTACTGTTTAACCTTTTGAATTTCAGTCAAGACAAACAGCTCCACATGATACAACACTTAATCAGAATGAATGCCTCAAATGGAAAAAGACTTTTGTAATCTCAAGTATTAACATTAATAATACAATTGAATGACAAATATTTGCACAAATAAAGGAACAATAATCTATATTTTCTGTCCATTTTATTTCTGGGAAGTAGTGGATGCCAAGAATGTATGATTCTAATTATAGATTCCATCATTCCAGAAAATATGGATATAGATAATTAAGCTCCATAGAAATACTCTTACATGTATTGAAAACTTATAAATAATTAGTTTATACTCTCTTAATAGCTTCCTATGAGCTACATTTATTTCTATAGTAATGGCTATGATATTTCATCATATTTTTAGCCAGTGATATAATTTCTTTTACTATGACAATAGTGAATTTTTTCTGCCATTATCCCTGCACATTTTAAAAACCTTTCTAAAACCGATATGAAAGCTTCAATAAAGCCTTTTTTTTCCCTTTATTTTATATTTTCCAGAAAGGTAAATAATGACTTTCAAATAATTTTTAAAAATTCTTTTTAAGGTTTCTTTTAAAATTTAAAAGGATTTCCTTTTTCCTTTTTAGTTTTTTTGTTTTAAAGACTCATTTAAAATGACTTTATAATATCACCACAGGGACAATAATGCTAAAATAACAGAGCTAGACTCTTCTTCTTCCACTTTGTGAATAATGGAGGGATCAAAGTCATTCATACCCAGATTTCCTTTCCTAAGCTATACAACGTTACAAAACAAACTAAACACTGAGATTACTTGTCTTATTATCTTATTTAAGTAAAAGGCTATTACTCATTGTGACTAGAATTGTAACAATTAGACTTATTCTCTGAATGCATTAAAATAAATTTCTATAATTAAAACAAGTATACTATTTCTATAGCAAATGTGGAAAGTATGCCTCTATCTTCACTTAAATTCAGAATAATTTTAGTAACCCCTATTTAAATAAATGCAGGTTAATAAATCAAAATACCATTAACTGGGTAGCTTGTAAACAACAGAAATTCTTTTGTTACAGTTCTAGACACTGAGAAGTTCAAGATCAAAATACTAGCAGATTCAGTGTCTGGCAAGGACTCAGTTTCTTATAGATAGCCCCTTCTCACTGAGTTCTCACATGGGGGAAGAGGCAAAGCAGATCCCTGGGGACACTTTGGGCAACTAATCCCCTTCATGAGGGGTTTACCCAAAAACCTTACTTCTGATTACCTTTCAAAGACTTCACCTTCCCATTACAAAGATGCTGGGGATTAGGATCCTCATATAAATTTAGGGGGGATATAAACTTTCAAATCGTATCAACCCTATCCTTGCTTTTTTAGCACTTCAGAAAGCAGTAATATTAAGGCACATTTTCCATAGGTGCAGAATCTCCATTATATGATTATATATATGTGTGTGTGTACATATATATATTTACATTTACTTCTGTCAAAGTTTTTTTTTAATACTTTAAGTTTTAGGGTACATGTGCACCATGTGCAGGTTTGTTACATATGTATACATGCGCCATGTTGGTGTGCTGCACCCATTAACGCGTCATTTACATTAGGCATATCTCCTAATGCTATCCCTCCCCGCTCCCCCCACCCCACAACAGGCCCCGGTGTGTGATGTTCCCCTTCCTGTGAACAATGAGTACACATGGACACACGATAAAGCCTTTTTGAGAAATGCTGACAGAAACAAAGTTAGAACAAATGTGAAACAAAAAGTTTCATCAGAGATTTTAGTATCTTAACATGCCTTACAAAAGTTCGGGAGGGGCAATAATATGTATGAAACTTCCTAAAAATCTTTAACCATGGAACCCTTCTTTTTTCAACTTTCCCATAGGACTGAAGACATGTTTTGAAATACATTGGTAGAGTGAAAATGATTCATTAAGATTACATTTGAATCCCAATTTCTCTCAGTTCTGCCTCTGTTCGTTTTTGTGTTTTTTTTTTTTTTTTGCCTTGATATCATCATATGTAAGCAGGAAGTATTATTGACCTAATGGGGCATTGTATAAATGCAATAAGCGATTTCAATTGACTTAATTCAACAAACGTTTACCTAGGTTCTAGTAAATGATCAGTATTTAGTTAGGAGCTGGAGATAAAGAAACTAATAAAACATAACCCCTGACCTCAAAGAGTTATTGTTTTAAAATTCATCGGCCATTTGCTGCCGTGGGAATTTTCTCTGGCCACATTCTTCTTTGGTTCCCATTTACTACACGTTTTCTTTGCATTTTTCACTCTTCTCTGGCCGTCAGCTGCAGACTGTTATAGTCCTAACCAGAGTAATTTAACCTTCCATTTCCCCAAACCAGCTATCCTTGAAAGTCCAAAAACTCATAGATGGCAAACAATAAGCCATATATGCTGGATATCTGTCCTTACAAATACAAAAACAATAAAATGATTGAAATGAAAGATTTTTCTTGAACACACACCAGATCAAATTCTTAACACTTCTCTCATCCAGACGTCTCATTCACGAGAGAAACAACGGAAACATATAGTGTCCTGAGGGCTCTGTGGTCATCAAGAAAGGTGATTGTTATTATTATTAATTGTGTACACTTTCATTTATTCTTATACAAAATGAAATCTTCAACCAAATACTACACATACAGAGGTTAGACCTCTTATCTCTAATAATCAGCATTTGTTGCCATCACTATTGGGAGTACACTCAATTGAAGAAAGGAAAGAAAGGTAGGCATATAACCGTGAATGAACAAAACAAACATGTTCTTATGAACATTGAATGTTTCTGGCTGAGTGCAATGGCTCATGCCTGTAATCCCAGCACTTTGGGAGGTCAAGGCAGGTGGCTCATTTAAGGTCAGTAGTTCGAGACCAGCAAGGCCCACATAGTGAAATCCCGTCTCTACTAAAAATACAAAAATTAGCTGGGTGGTAGTAGCACACACCTGTAATCCCAGCTACTCGGGAGGCTGAGGCAGGAGAATCGCTTGAGCCTGGGAGATGGAGGTTGCAGTGAGCTGAGTTCACACCACTGCACTCCAGCGAGGGTGACAGAGAGAGACCCTATCTCAAAAAACAAAACAAAGCAAAACAAAAAATAACAAAAAATTAAATGTTTCTCAGCTAACCAAATTAGAATGTCTTCAGCTGAAGAAATAATAATTTATTCCAATTCAAAATAAATTTTTGACTACTACATCAAAAAAGAGGCAGTTAAAAATATACAAAAATGAAAACACAACCTCAATTTAAATTTTGCTGAAGCAATAATCTCAACTTTTAAAATACAAGCTTAAATTTTATACTGATAAATAGTTAACTATTTATTGAAGCAATGCTCTCTGTTTAGAATTGTCAAATGATTTTTCTATTTTGTTTGCTTTGTATTTGAGAAAAAACCTTAGATTAGAAGCTTGAAGGTACAGATTACAATCTGCAGAATGTAAACAGAGTAAATTCTGCAAAAAACAGCTCAAAGTAGAATGCCAGATTCTCTGGAGCACTTGGAAAATTCTGACTACCTCAAGTAATTCCAGAGGATTCTTCCTTACTAAGTTCACTTGAATTTTTCATAGAAGACATTCATCTACCTGGTCAGAACACGAGCCCATAATTTCTGAAAAAGCATTATTAGTGTTTTGTAGATATCCAGAAATATTCATATTTACAAATATTTACAAATATCCAGAAATATGAATATTTCTGGATATCTACTCTCTCTTGCTTCACACACCCAATGTTGTGTTATTCTGTTTTGTGATTCCAGAATGAGATTAGATAATCTAATCAGGCATCATGTAAAAATTAAAGATTAATAGGGTCCCCTTTTCTTCCAACCTTATATCTTGGTGTAATGCTGATTGCCTCTTGATATGCTTGGCTGTGTGTCCCCATCCAGATCTCATCTTGAACTGGAATCCCCACATGTCAAGGGAGGGAGGTGATTGAATCATGGGTGTTGTTTTCCCCATGCTGTCCTTGTGATAGTGAGTGAGTTCCCATAAGGTCTGCTGGTTTTCTAAGTGTTTGGCAGTTCCTCCTTCACATGCTCACACTATCTCTTGCTGCCTTGTGAAGAAGGTGCCTGGTTCGCCTTCCACCATGATTGTAAGTTTCCTGAGGCTTCCCCAGCCATGTGGAACTGTGAGTCAATTGAATCTCCTTTGTTTATAAATTACCCGGTCTCAGATAATGTCTTCATAGCAGTGAGAAAATGGGCTAATATACCTCTTATTAACATACATAATATACCTCTTATTAACATACATAAGATAATATACCTCTTATTAATATACATAAGACAACCTCTTATCTACATAAGATACTACTGACAAATAAGACAGTTTTCAGGGTTTATCTTTCTTTGATAGAGAGGAGAGTTTAGAAAAGTAAATGTAATAAAGATCATGGGTAAACACATTCTGATATGTTACATAGGTATGATGTAGAGTTACCAGAACAGTTCACAAATATTATCAAATACTTTTCTTGATTATTTTTTGTGCCCAAGAAAACATCATAGTCATTTTCTTTAAAATTACTTTATCTTCTTCTAGGGAACCTTTTATTTTTTTTAACTGTACAATCACCAAAATAAAATTTCTAGATTTAGGTTCTTACTGATGAGATTAGTAAAATGGCTAAAGCTTTACGTACATTTACCCTAAGAGGGTACTATATCTTTTTCCAAAGAAAGAGGACCTGCCTGCCTAATAATTATACCCATGTTTCAGAGGCAGCTAAACAGAAGAAGGAAATGAGTGTTCCATCCCTGCACCCTCCCTCAGGGCAGTGAGAGAGTCGAAGGTCAGTTTTCTTCTTGATGGTCCCTTCTCAAAACTTGCCTTGAACTTTGAATTATGACGTGTGTTAACTATCACTTCTGCCTCCAAAGTACTTCAGGTCAGTAGTCTGTTAAGATACTGCTTGCTATTAGACTATGAATTTAAACATAACAATACATTCCACAAATGATAATATTCTGTCACTTTTGTATACCCTTTATGTGCTTATCAACAATTGTAAAAACTGAACACATAATGCATATATCTAGTTCTTCATCTTTTTTGGGGGGAGTGAAGTCTTTTCAGCACACATAGATGAAAAATGACGTAAGGGAAAACTCCACTCACTTCTTTTGTGTATGCAGGATCCAAAAGTAAACTATAATCCCCATTCCAGGCTGCAGTGTATATTTTACTCATGTGTCTAGATAAGTGCACTGTATATGTTATCCCATATAACACAGAAAATATATCACTGCAAAGCTTTAAAAAGTCATTCTGTCATTTTGAATCAAAAGTTGGGGGAGCAGATGGGTAACTAGCTTGGAGGAGAGAGACGGGGTTACTATTGGCCAAATGCAAGAGGAAGTATGAGAGTCTAATGATGAGGGCATTCTACTGCTAAGCATGTACAAAATTTAGTTTTGGTAATAACTTTTCTACTCGGCGTGCATTTTATAGCTTGGGGTTATCTGCTGACAATGTAAGAATTGAACATCAAGTGGAAGCTCTAAGGAATCAGAGTGGATATTTTGAAAGTTGCTAACAGAAGTAAATATAATTTTGAGTAAGAACATAGGTGTTTATCCAGCACAGAGAGCGCATGATGTGTTGGATTGGAAGTTACCCTCTGTATTATCAAGGCTGTCCTCAGTAGTTTCTATCTGTACAGTGTTTGACATCAAGATTACCATGTGTTCTTCACAGCCAGCTAGTGAGTAGGTTAATAATTTTTGTGCTGTTGTATAAATGGTCCAACTGAAACAGATAGGTTCTACAAACCTTGGAACAAATACAGAATGGAGTGTGTTATTTAAAATATGTCAAAAGCTATATGAGAAGCTATATTATTATAAGTATATAAAGTACCAAATAAGGTTAAGTAGATATCCTCTTAATTTTGAGGTTCCGTTTAATCAAGATGGAAATTCAATCAGTAATAGAATGTCGGCGTTTAAGATTTTTTTTTTGGATTAATTTAACTAAAGTAGTTGTGTAAGCTCCATAAATTAAATTTATGATGATGTGGGTCAAATGAAAATATGTGACTTTACGGTAAAGCTGTAATCATAAAAAGGTGAACATTGCCTATGTTGTCTTCCAACTGAAATAAATTGGTTACCTAAAAATCTCTTCCCAATCCTTCTGACTTCAGCTCAGTCATATAAGAGCTCAGAAAGCAACAACTCCATTTTTACAATAAGAAAAAAAAGATTAACTTAAAAAATCAATGACTTTTTAAGACTCATCTGAGAATTAAGGTCACATGGCAAACTGCTACCCCAAATTCTGTAGACAAATGAATGTAGACAATCACAGCACAGAGCAACTGACTTGGAGCAGAAACCACTGCACCCAGACACTGGCAGGAACACTCGCCTTGTAATTTTGATATTTATTTCCTGAGGCTGAGTGTGGATTAGATTGAGAAAGAAAAACCCTGGATGGTTTCCATCTTATGGGGACCCCACACTTTTATAAATTTTACCTCCAGGAATTCTACAATATTCTCATGGTAAAGAGTTAAAAAAAAAAAAAATCCCTTCTTGGCTCTGGCAGGAGGAGGTGAAAGTGGCCATCTGGAAATACACATTCCATAATGAAGGCCTGCTCTCCAGAGGAAGGGCTATTACCCAACTCCAGGCCACTCTAGAGTCACCTAGTGTGAGAAAATCAGGGAGAAAAGTGTTAAATATACTTGTAAAGGTCATACACCAGGCCCGAAGCCTACTAAAAGACAGATTTAATCCTAAAATTACTTAACACTTAAAGCTCCTTCACCTCATCCTTTCCTTACCACTACACCAACTAGCTCCAGTCTGATACCAGTGGATACAGATGAAAGAACTGTAAGACACAGACTCCAAGAAGTTCTTGGGGGAAACTCAAAGACAACAGGAGAGACAAAAACAAGGACACTAGAGGAATTTGCAGATCCTAGAACCTACAGCTATTGGAAATACTATGCATAGCCAAGCTCCTACCCCAACAAACTTAAAAACTCACATTGAAAGCCTATTTTACCCTATTCCTGTAACTCAGTATGTCACGTCCAACTTCCAAAAAAATTACAAGGATAGGCTAACAGGGAAGAGAAAACACAATCTGATGAGACAAAGCAAACCTCAGAATCAGACTCAAATATAATACCAAATTTGGAATTATCGAATAAGGATTTAAGAGAACTATAATTAATATAATAAAAATTCTAATAGAAAAAGCAGAACAAATGGATAATATAAGCAGAAAGAATGAAACATTAAGAAAGAATCAAAAGGAAATGCTGGAAATACAAAACACAGTTACAAATGAAGAATGTCTTTGGATGGACCTATCAGGAAAATACGTGAGCTTGAAGCAATGTCAACAAAAATTTCACAAGCTGAAATAGAAAGAGAAAAACATAATGAATCAATAGAGGATCCAAGAACTGCGAGACAATTTCCAAAGGTCTAATATACCTTTAGAAATTGGAATACCAGAGGGAAAAGAAAGAATAGAGCACAAGGAATATTTGAAGTAATAATGGCTGAAAACTTTCAAAAGTTAATGACATACACTAATTCACAGACTCAGGAAGTTCAGACAACACCACACAGAATAATTCCCCCCCAAAAATCTACAATTAGGCATGCCATATCCTACTGTGGAAGCCCAACATTGTATTCATTGTATTTCATTTGAAATACAATGAAAAAAAGAGAGAAAAAAATGCCTTACTAACAAAGAAAAGAGATGAGAAATATTGTCTACTCATGAGAAACCACGCAAACAAGGAGCTAATTTAAAAAAAAAACAAACAAACCTAGAATTCTAAAACCAGCAAAATTATCCTTCAAAAGTGAAAGAGAAATACCTCTTGGAAAAACAAAAAGTAAGAAATTCATTGTAAGCAAACCAGCCCTGTAAGATGTTAAAGAAGTTCTGCAAGAAGGAAAGTGATATGGGTCATAAGCTTAGATCTACACAAATAAAGAAAAATATTTAGGAAAAGAATTACGGAAGGTAAATAATTTACTTTTTAAATTATCATTTGATATAGTAGATAACTGTTCAAAGTAATCATGGTACTAATGCATTATGTAATTATAGTATGTGATAAGTGAAATGACTCCTAAGAATAACATAAGAAATAGAGGGAAGAATTGAAAATACTATGTTTTAAGTTATCTGTACAACCCATGAAGTGGTATAGTGGTATTTGAATGTGAAGTTGGATTAGTTAATAGTATACTGCAAGATGTAGGGCAAAATACAATAAAATAATACGCAAAGAGAAGAGAGAAAATAGAATCATAAAGTGCTCATACAGATACCCTTTGGAAGACAGTTTTTCAATTTCTAATAAAATTAAACATAATCTTACCATGTAAGCCAACAATTGCACTCTGATATTTTATGAAAACTTAAGGCTTTAGAAAAACCTGCACACAGATGTTTATATAGAACGTTTATTTATAAATTACCAAGACTTGGAAGCAACCAAGATGTCCTTCAGTAGGTGAATGGATAAAAAATGAAGTACATGCAGACAATGAAATATTATTCAGCATTAAAATGAAATGAGCTATCAAGCCATGCAAAGACACAGAAGAAATGTAAAGGCATAAATCTAAGTGAAAGAAGCCATTTTGAAAAATCTACATACTACATGATTCCACCTATATGACATTCTGGAAAAAAAGTGGTTCCCAAGGGTGAAAGGGGAGGGAAGGATGAATAGGCAGAGCACAGAGGATTTTTAGGTCAGTGAAACTACTCTGTATGATACTGCAATGGTGGATACATGTAATTACACATTTATGCAAAGAATGTTCAAACCCAGAAATTAACTCTACTGTAAACTATGGAATTCAGATGATAATGATGTATCAATGTAGGCTGATCAATTGTAACAAATTTACCACACTGATGGGGTTGATAATGGGGTAGGCTTTGCATCTGGGCACATGGGGTATATGAGAAACATCTGTGCCTGCCTCTCAATTTTGCTGTGAACATATATCCACTCTACAAACAGGCTTAAACCTGCTCAATTGTGAAAGAAACAAAGAATAACAAATAGAAAAGAAAACATGGTACACACTTGCACATATACACACACATACACACACACATTATACATATATGATGTGCACATGATATAAACAAATACTAAATAGACTGAATATACAACCATTCCTCAATATCCATGGGCATTGCTTCCAGAACCCTCTTGCAGATACTAAATTTTGCAGATATTCAAGTCTCTCATATAAAATTATGTAGTATTTGCATATAACCTAGGAACATCCTCCTGTATACTTTAAAACATCTCTAGATCATTTATAGTATCTAATACAATGCAAATGCTATGTAAATAGTTGTTATATTGTATTTTTTAATTTGTATTATGTTTTACTTCTGTATTTTTTTCCCGAATATTTTCTATCCATGGTTGGTTGAATCTGCTGATGCAGTCCCTGGGGAAAGAGAAGGCTGACTGTATAAATAAATAGGGGAGAAGAGACAAATTTCCATTGCAGACAAATTCTGCACAATTTATGCATATACGCTGCATAAATCTGCACTTTTAAAATGTGGGCTGTAGATAATGACTTTGCTCCACAAAAGTCTCTATAGAAAAGGGAGGCAAAAAAGATTACAGTGGAGAAAACTGATAAACACAACTTTAGCCAGGTGGCCAAGGTCAACGTCAAGAGTGATAAGTCATGCTAACAGTATGTATCTTGATTTGTTGTTGGGGAAGCAGCCATCACCACCTGTCCCACTCTAGGAGTTTGCTGAATCGAGGCTCTGGGTCTGGAAAGTTCCCCAGTATGGAAGTTGGCCCCAGATTCTTCTTACTTATTAGGATAAACTTTCCCTTCTTGTATGTGGTGAACTTCTTTGTGTTGCTTAAGCACGTGCACCAGATGGTACCTGCCCAGCCCCACCAGTATATCTGCACCCCCAGGGAAGGGAGAGAGTCTCTTGACTATGGCATAAGAAGGGTTCATTCTGTCCATCACTCTGCATCAGCTCCTGGTAGGGACCCACTTGCCCTGGAAGACTGAGCCCACTACAGATGTTGATCTTGCTGCAGCTCTTCTCATTTTTGTGAGTACAGAGTTGTTCTAACCAGTGCCTGGTATGTCAAGTCCTCCTTGGCAACTCCTCATCCTTAGAATATGCAGTGGGCTGAGGTCTGGGGCCTCCTACTGCTGGTGGTTGGCATTGCTATGATCTTTGCTGCCCTCCATGTGGTGGGGACTCTTCCCTCAAATTGGTTGCTGAATCTTCCTGTTTGGTAGTAGGATATGATTGACTTGGCACTTTATCTTTGTGATCTTCCTCATAAAAACCAATTACTCTAGTTGAATTATGAGAAAAATATCAGGCTAATTCCAAGACAAGGGCATCCTATAAAGTAGTTGACTGGTATTTCTCAAAACTGTCAAGGTCATGGAAAGCATGGAAAGTTTGAGGAACTATTCCAGCCAAAAGGAATCTAAGATGATATGACTATTAAACGTAATGTGATAACCAGGATGGGGTCCTGGCATGGAAAACGACGTTAGGTAAAGCTAAAAAAACTGGAACAAACTATGGATTTTAGTTAACTATAATGTATCAATATTGGTTCATTAATGGTAACAAATGTACCATAGCAATATAAGATGTTAATTATGTGAGCAGGTATGAGGAAACTCTATGTACTATCTTTTCAATTTTTTTCACAAATCTAAAACTATCTTGAAAAATAAAGTCTATTATTTTAAAATATTTTTGTTATATGGTAGCAGTTGGATACAATGTTTTCACTGAAGCTCTGAAAGAATATATGCCTGTATTCCCTTTTGAAGGCATATAGGCAACAATGTTTTAATATTATTTTCGTGTCATTAGTATTTATAGTATAGATAGCTAAACGAACATAAAAGTGAGTTTATTTAAGAAATGAAAAAATGACTGCTTCTCATATTTTGACCAGTGGCCAAATATGTCTATCTGGAGATTACTCCTAGAACAGCTCACGTGTGAACCTAGGAGCTAGTCTCGAACCTGAGTGAGAAAGAAAGCCTGTGTGTTAGCTTAAAAGTGTGGATCTTGGTGTTCTTCAAAGCACAGTCCATGAGAGCTGAGAGCCCTGACTTAGAGGAATTCACTCTGGAAAGAAAATGGGGAAGACACAAAGCACAGCACTTTCATGTGAAAGTGGACGTGAAGCTGATGAAACTGTTCCCGGGACTGAATCTGGCTTTCTGCACAGCAGAAGCAATGACTGCCTATGTGTGAAATGACACGCTGGAGCCCTTGCTAGGATAGAAAGGGCTTAAGGAATCCCTCTTTAATGTTCTGCTTATGAAATTTGAGGAGACAAATTTTTCCTTAACAGGAATAACTTTTAAAAGATGAAAGAAAGCATAAAATAGATGCTCTGAGCTAAGGCAGAACGATCAAATGCAGCATCTGGGAAACTTGGTGGTGAGCAGTGTGTGTCTGAGAGGAGGAAGGGAAATGCTGAGTCTCTGTGGATTGTATTAAGAGTACAAAACTCCTTAACACACAGAGGGTGAATCCCCCCGTAAAATATGTCGTAGATACCAACCAGGTAGGAGCAATGCCTCTTGGGGAGGTGGGGTACAGATGCCACACTTTAAAACTGGACTATCTTCTGTACTGCGTGTACATCAGAGATGACTAAGCTACTAGGTGTGAGGTCACACAAATACTGCTGTGGAGGATCTATGCTACGCCCAGAAGAAGGAGAGGTAACTGAAGGCCCTGGGGACAGAGATGGTGTTTTAAATTTTTATTCCATCAGGAGGTTGAGAGTCAGAAAAGAAAGAAGTATTTGGAAAGAGAAGAGCAATGTGTACAGGACTTGTGAAAGAACAGGAAGTGGTTTGCAGTGTGAGGACTGCCTTGGAAGGGCATGGGCACTTTTTCATGTCCAGCCTCTTCTGTCCTGCCCTTTATCCTCACTTCTAGTGTAGCTGTGAAATGGTACGTGCTCACAAAAGCCTGTGCATTTGTCGGTCATTGCACTTGCAGCTGACATTGTCACTGTGTAGTAGACTGTATTAAGGGATGGAGATGGCTGTTGTACTCCCCGACTTGACTTACAAGGAGTTCTCTGCTTACGCATTTATGAAGGATGAACTTATGAACAGGAGAAGTCAGTCTGGAAAGGGAAGGATTAGACTGAATGAAAATCCCAGGAAGATGGAAGTTTCCATCTGTAACTTCAGCATCTAGTATCATGCCTGACATAGAGCACAGTCTCAGTAGATTTGTATTTAATTAATCATTTACTTAATTAGTTACTGTGAACTACAGTGTACATTTAGAAAAGAGAAAAATCATTGTAGTCAAGGGAGGATGGATTTGAATTCTAGATCTTCCACGTCTTAGTACTGTGACTTACGGGAAGTTTTTAGAAACTTGCTTTCTACATGTACAAAAGAACAATATTCATATTTATTTCACAATGTTGTAAAGAGAATTACATAATGTAGAAATAGATAGACAGACACATACCATTCTTTAAAAGGCCAGTTAGAGCAGGTACAGATATTAGAATTGTAGTTATGATTGCTTTTATTATTATTTCATGGCTTTTTCCCACATTGGCATAGGTTATATGTCATCAAGGGCAGAGAAAATATCTTTTTCCCTCTTTTGTGTTCCTTGGTATAACGTAGCCAAGTATGCATTTATTTCTATTTATCTAAATCTGTGTAACTGTGAGCAAAATTAATTTTACTACAATGTAAATTTGATAGTGAAAATATACAAAAATATTATAATTCCACATTATAAAAATATTATAATTCCACAATATAAAATATTATAATTCCACAAAGTATGTAGATGTCACCCAATGATAAAGATAGGACACATATCAATATACAGCTACCCCACCTTAGGACTCATAACCAGTTTACCTATACATTTCAGAGTTAATTCACTGCACTTGCTAACCCACTGAAATTTCATAGGAGCATGCAACCACAAAGTCATCACAATTCAGTCATTTTCCAGCTATCACTTTGAAGACTTTCATTTATCACAGTTTTGGGAAATAAGATTTTCAGTTTCTCTGACTTCCTCAATAAATAATGTGACCATTTAATAAATATGTGTTTCTTTAGTAAGCAGGCTCTGCCCATGTTGAAGAAAGTCTTTTGGGATCATTTATTCCTACACACCGGGGAGGGCTGGCACTACATACCAATTTAATGCCAGTATTCTCTTTCCATGACTACAAATAATAAAAATAGCCTTTTGCTTTTAAAGTTTGTTCTCCAATAAAATATGTAAAAAATAGAAACAAATGTCTTATTAGTTTCATGTAGGTATTGTTTTACTATTTATTATTGTGCTTGCATTTCAAGAAAAAGTCAAAGATACAAAGGTATAAAGAAAAACCAGAATGTTTCTCTCTATCTCTCTCTCCCTCATAGCATCCTTTTGAATGTTTATTACCAATTCTGAGAAAAATAAACCTCAAAGAATACCTAGCCCTTTCTTTACCATTGCTTTCTCTCAAATTCACACACACACACACACACACACACACACACACACACACACACGGGCTCCTTGTCAATGAGGCTGGCTGATAACAAAGGAAGACATGGTGACTTTGCTTAGTGCTTGCATGAAAACATCCTTCCTTTCTGCCCACCCTGCCACTCACCGTCAAGCTACAAGAAAAGCTATGGGCCTCAAAATCTTTGGTTAGTGCTAGGCGAAAGGCAGAAGAGGAAGATAGATGCTAACGTTTTGAAGTGACTAGATAGAATTCAGATAAACCAAAAGGAAAATATTAACATTTTGAAGAAAGAAAAATCAGTTTTTATCTTTACACAGAAAAGTTGGGTGGAATTTTTCTATTTCCATATTTCTCTATAGGACCATGGGAACATTGCACATTACATCTTGTGTGTGCATGCACACACACACACGTACATGTGCTTTTGTGCATGCGTGCACATGTTCAGCTAATTTACGTGGTAAATACAACTCTTCCTTCTGATTTCAATATGCATAATCTCATTTAATATTTGAGCTCTCCTGACAGACAGTTTGTTCAGCAAATACTGAGAAACACTCACCATCAGTTTAGAATATAAAATTCCCTTAACACCCATCTGAGTTATTTGTCTGAATGTCTTCTACAAAGGCCTCAGCCCTATAACTAAAATGAGATAGACATGAGTGCACAGTTGTTCATTGTTCTTTCACTTGACTTATTAATCGTTATATGATTTACTGGATTTGCTTCTTTTTTTTACAATAGCTTTATTGAGATATAGTTTACATACTGTCAGGCCTCTGAGCCTAAGCTAAGCCATCATATCCCCTGTGACCTAAATGTACACATGTAGGTGGCCTGTTCCTGCCTTAACTGATGACATTCTACCACAAAAGAAATGAAAATGGCCTGTTCCTGCCTTAACTGATGGCATTATCTTGTGAAATTCCTTCTTCTGGCTCAAAAGCCCCTTTACTGAGCACCTTGTGACCTCTACTCCTGCCTGCCAGAGAACAACCTCCCTTTTTCCTTTACTTACCTAAATCCTATAAAACGGTCCTACCCCATCTCCTTTCGCTGACTCTCTTTTCGGACTCAGCTTGCCTGCACCTAGGTGATTAAAAGCTTTATTGCTCACACAAAGCCTGTTTGGTGGTCACACAGACACACATGAAATTTGGTGCCGTGACTCGGATCAGGGGACCTCCCTTAGGAGACCAATCCCCTGTCCTCCTGTTCTTTGCTCCGGAAGAAAGATCCACCTACGACATCAGTTCCTCTGACCAACCAGCCCAAGGAACATCTCACCGATTTTAAATCCGGTAAGCAGCCTCTTTTTACTCTCTTCTCCAACCTCCCTCACTATCCCTCAACCTCTTTCTCCTTTCAATCTTGGCGCCACACTTCAATCTCTCCCTTCTCTTAATTTCAATTCCTTTCATTTTCTGGTAGAGACAAAGGAGACACGTTTTATCCCTGGACCCAGAACTCCGGCGCTGGTCACGGACTGGGAAGGCAGGCTTCCCTTGGTGTTTAATCATCGCAAGGACGCCTCTGATTATTCACCCACGTTTCAGAGGTGTCAGACCACGCAGGGACACCTGCCTTGGTCCTTCACCCTTAGTGGCAAGTCCCACTTTTCTGGGGGAAGGGCAAGTACCCCAGCCCCTTCTCTCCGTGTCTCTACCCCTCTCCGCTTTTCTGGAGGAGGGTTAAGAACCCCTCAACCCCTTCTCCTTCACTCTTAGCGGCAAGTCCCGCTTTTCTAGGGGGCAAGAACCCCCAATCCCTTATTTCTGTGCCCTGACCTCTTATCTCTGCACCCCAATCCCTTATTTCCATGCCCCAGCCTCTTATCTCTGTACCCCATCCCTTATTTCTGCACTCTGACCTCTTATCTCTGTGCCCCAATCCCTTATTTCTGCACCCCGACCTCTTATCTCTGCACCCCGATCCCTTATTTCCATGCCCAGATCTCATCTCTGCGCCCCCATCTCTTATTTCCACACTCCGACCTCTTATCTCTGCGCCCCAACCCCTTATTTCTGCACCCCGACCCCTTTCTCGCTTTTCTGGAGGGTAAGAACCCCCGAACCCCTTCCCTCCGTGTCTCTACTCTCTCTTTTCTCTGGGCTTGCCTCCTTCACTATAGGCAATCTTCCACCCTCCATTCCTCTTTCTTCTCCCTTAGCCTGTGTTCTTAAGAACTTAAAACCTCTTCAATTCTCACCTGACCTAAAATCTAAGCATCTTATTTTCTTCTGCAATGCCGCTTGACCCCAATACAAACTCGACAGTAGTTCCAAATAGTCAGAAAATGGCACTTTCAATTTTTCCATCTTGCAAGATCTAAATAATTCTTGTCGTAAAATAGGCAAACTGTCTGAGGTGCCTGACGTCCAGGCCTTCTTTTACACATCAGTCCCTCCCTAGTCTCTGTGCCCAGTGCAACTCATCCCAAATCTTCCTTCTTTCCCTCCCGCCTGTCCCCTCAGTCCCAACCCCAAGCGTCTTTGAGTCTTTCTAATCTTCCTTTTCTACAGACCCATCTGACCTCTCCCTTCCTCCCCAGGCTGCTCCTCGCCAGGCTGAGCTATGTCCCAATTCTTCCTCAGCCTCTGCTCCTCCACCCTATAATCCTTCTACCACCTCCCCTCTTCACACCTGGTCCGGCTTATAGTTTCGTTCAGTGACTAGCCCTCCCTCACCTGCCCAGCAATTTACTCTTAAAAAGGTGGCTGAAGCTAAAGGCATAGTCAAGGTTAATGCTCCTTTTTCTTTATCAGACCTCTCCCAAATCAGTGAGCGTTTAGGCTCTTTCATCAAATATGAAAAACCCAGCCCGGTTCATGGCTCATTCGGCAGCAACCCTGAGACGCTTAACAGCCCTAGACCCTAAAAGGTCAAAAGGCCGTCTTATTCTCAATATACATTTTATTACCCAATCTGCTCCCGACATTAAATAAAACTCCAAAAATTAAATTCCGGCCCTCAAACCCTACAACAACACTTAATTAACCTCACCTTCAAGGTGTACAATAATAGAGGCAGCCAAGTAGCAACATATTTCTGAGTTGCAATTCTTTGCCTCCACTGTGAGACAAACCCCAGCCACATCTCCAGCACACAAGAACTCCAAACTCCTAAACTGCAGCTGCCAGGGGTTCCTCTAGAACCTCCTCCCCCAGAGGCTTGCTACAAGTGCCAGAAATCTGGCCACTGGGCCAAGGAATGCCCACAGCCCGGGATTCCTCCTAAGCCATGTCCCATCTGTGCGGGACCCCACTGAAAATTGGACTGTTCAACTCACCTGGCAGCCACTTCCAGAGCCCCTGGAACTCTGGCCCAAGGCTCTCTGACTCCTTCCCAGATCTTCTCAGCTTAGCAGCTGAAGACTGACACTGCCCGATGGCCTCAGAAACCTACAGGACCATCACAGACGTTCTAGGTAACTCTCACAGTGGGGGGTAAGTCCGTCCCCTTCTTGATCAATACGGAGGCTACTCACTCCACATTACTTTGTTTTCAAGGGCCTGTTTCCCTTGCTTCCATAACTGTTGTGCGTACTGACAGCCAGGCTTCTAAACCTCTTAAAACTCTGCAACTCTGGTGCCAACTCAGGCAATACTCTTTTAAGCACTCCTTTTTAGTTATCCCCACCTGCCCGGTTCCCTTATTAGGCCAAGACACTTAAACTAAATTATCTGCTTCCCTGATTATTCCTGGGCTACAGCCACACCTCATTGCCACCTTTTCCCCCAGTTCAAAGCCTCCTTCACATCCTCCCCTTGTATCTCCCCACCTTAACCCACAAGTATAAGACACCTCTACTCCCTCCTTAGCGACCGATCATGCACCCCTTACCATCCCATTAAAACCTAATCACTCTTACCTCGCTCAGTGCCAATATCCCATCCCACAGCATGCTTTGAAAGGATTAAAGCCTGTTATCACTCGCCTGTTACAGCATGGCCTTTTAAAGCATATAAACTCTTCTTACCATTCCCCCATTTTACCTGTCCTAAAACCAGACAAGCCTTACAAGTTAGTTCAGGATCTGCGCCTTATCAACCAAATTGTTTTGCCTATCCACCCCATGGTGCCAAACCCGTATACTCTCCTATCCTCAATACCTCCCTCTACCACCCGTTATTCTGTTCTGGATCTCAAACATGCTTTCTTTACTGTTCCTTTGCACCCTTCATCCCAGCCTCTCTTTGCTTTCACTTAGACTGACCCTGACACCCATTAGGCTCAGCAAATTACCTGGGCTGTACTGCCGCAAGGCTTCACAGACAGCCCCCATTACTTCAGTCAAGCCCAAATTTCATCCTCATCTGTTACCTATCTTGGCATAATTCTCATAAAAACACATGTGCTCTCCCTGCTGATCGTGTCCGATTAATCTCCCAAACCTCAATCCCTTACAAAACAATAACTCCTTTCCTTCCTAGGCTTGGTTAGTGCGGTCAGAATTCTTACACAAGAGCCAGGACCGCACCCTGTAGCCTTTCTGTCCAAACGACTTAACCTTACTGTTTTAGCCTAGCCCTCATGTCTCCATGCAGCGGCTGCTGCCGCCCTAATACTTTTAGAGGCCCTAAAAATCACGAACTATGCTCAACTCACTCTCTACATTTCTTATAACTTCCAAAATCTATTTTCTTCCTCATACCTGACGCGTATACTTTCTGCTCCCCGGCTCCTTCAGCTGTACTCACTCTTTGTTAAGTCCCACAATTACCATTGTTCCTGGCGTGGACTTCATTCTGGCTCCCACATTACTCCTGATACCACACCTGACCCCCATGCCTGTATCTCTCTGATCCACCTGACATTCACCCCATTTCCCCATATTTCCTTCTTTCCTGTTCCTCACCCTGATCACGCTTGATTTATTGATGGCGGTTCCACCAGGCCTAATCGCCACACACCAGCAAAGGCAGGCTATGCTATAGTACAAGCCACTAGCCCGCCTCTTAGAACCTCTCATTTCCTTTCCATCGTGGAAATCTATCCTCAAGGAAATAACTTCTCAGTGTTCCATCTGCTATTCTACTACTCCTCAGGGATTATTCAGGCCCCCTCCCTTCCCTACACATCAAGCTCGAGGATTTGCCCCCACCCAGGACTGGCAAATTAGCTTTACTCAACATGCCCCAAGTCAGAGAACTAAAATACCTCTTAGTCTAGGTAGACACTTTCACTGGATAGGTAGAGGCCTTTCCTACAGGGTCTGAGAAGGCCACCGCAGTCATTTCTTCCCTTCTGTCAGACCTAATTCCTCAGTTTAGCTTTCCCATCTCTATACAGTCTGATAACAGACTAGCCTTTATTAGTCAAATCAGCCAAGCAGTTTTTCAGGCTCTTGGTATTCAGTGAAACCTTTATATCCCTTACAGTCCTCCGTCTTCAGGAAAGGTAGAATGGACTAATGGTCTTTTAAAAACACACCTCACCAAGCTCAGTCACCAACTTTAAAAGGACTGGACAATACTTTTACCTTTTTCTTTTCTCAGAATTCAGGCCTGCCCTCGGAATGTTACAGGGTACGGTCCATTTGAGCTCCTGTATGGATGCTCCTTTTTATTAAGCCCCAGTCTCATTTCAGACACCAGACCAACTTAGACTGTGCCCCCCAAAAAACTTGTCATCCCTACTATCTTCTGTCTAGTCATACTCCTATTCACCATTCTCAACTACTCATACATGCCCTGCTCTTGTTTACACTGCTGGCTTACACTGTTTTTCCAAGCTGTCACAGCTGATATCTCCTGGTGCTATCCCCAAACTGCCACTCTTAACTCTTGAAGTAAATAAATAATCTTTGCTAGCAGGACTATGCTGAATCTCCTTAGGCACTCTCTAATTAGATGTCCTGGGTCCTCCCAATTCTTAGACCTTTAATACCTGTTTTTCTCCTCCTCTTATTCCGTTTAGTTTTTCAATTCATACAAAACCGTATCCAGGCCATCACCAATAATTCTAAATGACAAATGTTTCTTCTAACAGTCCCACAATATCACCCCTTACCACAAAATCTTCCTTCAGCTTAATCTCTCCCACTCTAGGTTCCCGTGCCGCCCCTAATCCCGCTCGAAGCAGCCCTGAGAAACATCGCCAATTATCTCTCCATACCATCCCCCAAAATTTTCGCCATCCCAACGCTTTACCACTATTTCCTTTTATTTTTCATATTAATATAAGAAGACAGGAATGTCAGGCCTCTAAGCCCAAGCTAAGCCATCATATCCCCTGTGACCTGCACTTACACATCCAGATGGCCGGTTCCTGCCTTAACTGATGACATTCCACCACAAAAGAAATGAAAATGGCCTGTTCCTGCCTTAACTGATGGCATTATCTTGTGAAATTCCTTCTCCTGGCTCATCCTGGCTCAAAAGCTCCCCTACTGAGCACCTTGTGACGACCACTCCTGCCTGCCAGAGAACAACCCCCCTTTTTCCTTTACCTACCCAAATCCTATAAAACGGCCCCGCCCCTATCTCCCTTTGCTGACTCTCTTTTCGGACTCAGCCCGCCTGCACCCAGGTGATTAAAAGCTTTATTGCTCACACAAAGCCTGTTTGGTGGTCTCTTCACACAGATGCGCATGAAACATACTATACCATTTATCCTTTTAAAATGTACTATCCGATGGTTTTTAGTGTATTCAGGGTTGCTCTAATTTTAGAATTAGTATCTAATTAGATAATCAGTATCTAATTTTAGAATATTTCACCCCCAAAAGCCTCATTTTTATTAACAGCCACTCCCCCTTTCTTTCACCCCAGCCCCTGGCAAACACTAATCTACTTTCTGACTCTATGGATTTTCCTCTTCTGGTGTATTTCGCCTTTTCTTTCACAGAATTACACAAATTATCTCAACCCCAATCAGTCACCTGGCATGTTTCACTTGGGGATTCAAGTCAGAGCTATATCTCCATTAATAGGAAAAATGTATATTTAAAAATCTCTTTTAAGAGAAAATAATCTTGAGCTTATGGCTTAAAGAATAGTGTCTTATAAATGATGAAGCTTCCTTAGATGCGTTAATTAATTTCAACAAATATTCACTGAGGCACTGAACCAGTGGGTCTCCAGGTGTGGTTTTTAATGGCCTACATCACAACCACCTGGGGATACTTATTAAGGATGTAGATACTTGGGATTTGCCTCACATCTACTAAATTAGATGTTCAGGGAAGGGGCAAGGGAATCATCATCTTTTTTTTTTTTTTTTTTTTTTTTAGACGGAGTCTGGCTGTGTCGCCAGGCTGGAGTGCAGTGTGATGATCTTGGCTCACTGCAACCTCCGCCTCCTGGGTTCAAGCGACCGGGTTTCACCATGTTGGCCAGGAGGGTCTAATCCTCTAACCTCGTGATCCGCTTGCCTTGGCCTCCCAAAGTGCTGGGATTACAAGTGTGAGCCCCTGCACCTGGCTGGGAATCATCATCTTAACAGGGCCCCTGTGTGCTATTCTTATGCACACTAACATTTGCCAATCAGAGGTCCACCCTGTACTAAGGTCTGGGGGTAAAATAGATGATTAAGACACAGAATTTGATATCAGGTCATTTCAACACACTTAGCC
Organism: Homo sapiens; assembly: GCF_000001405.40. Classification (NCBI taxonomy): domain Eukaryota; kingdom Metazoa; phylum Chordata; class Mammalia; order Primates; family Hominidae; genus Homo; species Homo sapiens. The sequence continues at coordinate 239,108,043 of NC_000001.11, forward strand.
TACACATTATGCCAATGATATTTTAGCAAAATTATATAAATACATTGATAGGGGAAGGAGCACTGAAAGAAAAGATTCCCGGTGATCAACCACTTTCTGCGTCTTACAAAGTACTTTACAAATACTGTTTCTCTTATGAAGTGCATCACCCAGTACCAGTTGCTGTGACATATATGTTTCCCATATTAGACCTTGCACAGAAATACTCATATTAGCATAAATTTATTCATTTATTTAAGAAATGAATATCCATTGAGTTACAACTATGTGTTCAGCCCTGCTAAGGCAGCAAACAAAATAAAGTCTCTAAACTGTAAAACTAAGGAAAGGAGAAGACCAATACAAGAAAGAAAGAACGCTGTGAATAGGGGAAGTCTTCCTGGAAAGACTAAAATGAACTCCTTCTCAGAGGATATGTAGGATTTGTGTGGGAACAAGTAGAGGCAACTCCTGTAGTGGAAGATACATAATAAAAGTATGTATAGCACCAAAAAAAAGAAGCATTTGATTCAGGTTAGATCCAACCAGCAGTCAAGTATCTGCTGGTGTCTGGAATATATGAGAGAGGCTTGAAGAAAATAACTGGAGCAGGACTGTTATTATGTATTGGAGAGCCATGTAAGAATCTACAGACAGTACTGAAAATACCTAAGGAATGGCTCTTAACGGAGTGTGTCCTGATGAAAACTTAGTCACCCCAGGGGAAAATGCATCCATTTAACTCCAAGGGAACATCTATACACCTATCAGCATCTATACATCTATCAGCATCTGTACATCTATCTGCATCTGTACATCTATCAGCATCTATACATCTATCAGCATGAATGAGCTTGAGCTTCCCACTCCGAAAGATCTGGGAAGCTAAATGACGGTCTCAATCCTCTGTATAGATAAGAGAGGGATGAGCGCTGGAAAACAAAGTGGTATCTTTGGTGCACTGATGGTGGAATTCACAACCTGCCGCTGCTCAAATACTGGCCCATAAGATTCTGTTCATTCTGCCACTAATCTGGCTATTTTCACTGCAGGTACCTCAGAATACGGATCTGAACATTAATAAGCAAGGAAAGAACAATAATGGTACACTAAGGTGCCAGCAGGCAGAGAGAGAGGGAGGAGAAAAACAAAAACCTAGATTAAGCGCATAAAAAATAAAAATTTTGGAGGACACAGACCAGAACATGAGCATTAATGAGCATTTAGTGAGCTTCAAGTACAGTACAAAGACTTTATAGAAATATAAAACTAAAAAAAAACAAAAAACATTGGCTGGGCGCACTGGCTCACGCCTGTAATCCCAGAGCTTTGGGAGGCCAAGGCGCGTGGATCACATGAGGTCAGGAGTTCGAGACCAGCCTGGCCGATATGGTGAAATCCCGTCTCTACTAAAAATACAAAAAATTAGCCAGGGACAGTGGTGGGTGCCTGTAATCCCAGCTACTTGGAAGGCTGAGGCAGGAGAATCACTTGAATCCAGGAGGTGGAGGTTGCTGTGAGCCGAGATCGTACCATTGCGTTCCATCCAGCTTGGGCAACAAGAGTGAGACTGTCTCAAAAAAAAAAAAAAAAAGATAGTCACTGTTAAGATCAGACCTGGTGGCCTCGATGACACAATGTAAGAAATATCTTAAAGTACAGGGTCACAAATATGAAGAGATGAAAAATGATACAGGAAACGTGAGAACTGGACGAGAGATCTGAGAGAACTAAGTGTGAATTGTAGGAGTTTCAGAGGGAGGAACAGAAACAGATGGATGACTCAAAATAATAAAATCAAACATGTATTTTTGTTTTTCATTTGAACTGAAGAAAGAGCTGGGCCTTCGGACGAAATTGTTCAATGCACAATCCAGGCAAAGTTAATGACTTTTTAAAAAGGGTTGGAGAAATTGTGGAGCTTCCAATACAAAAATAAAAAGAAGTGTTTACAAGCTTCTAGAGACAAGAAACAGGTCACCTTAAAAAAGGAACAAATCAGACCAGTCACAGGCAACTAATTTGCTTCATCAGAAGTGAGAAAGTAGCAGAAAGCCACTCATAGAATATTGAGAAATTAGAATTGTAACCTAATTATTTCGTTCCTAAACAAGATAGTAATCCCTGATAGAAGTAAAAAAAGATGTACGTGGATGGTCTATGCTTTAGGGACTATATCATTCTTGTTCTTTGTGTAACCAACAAAATTATCCCAGGAAAAGTGGAGTCAAGGAGATGAACAATGGGGAGGGGTGGGGACAGACCGCAGGCTTCATATACATATAATTAAAATGGATAATGAGACACTTGAGAAACGCAATAAAACAACCATAAGAGTGCTGAAAATTAATGAGAAACTCTTGAAATCAAATGAGTGTAAATGCTTAAAATTGAAAAGAAATTCTTGACATTGAAAGGAAAATCATAAAAAGAACCTGGGATTAAAAATATTAATGTTAAACTCTCCCAATTAAAACTCTGAGTTAAGGTGGGTGAAGGAAAAGAGAATTTTAAAATTCTCTTTCAGGTTGTGATGATGAGGAAAGGAGGGGAGTAAATACTTTTTTTTTTTCAGACAAACTCTCACTCTGTCACCAGGCTGGAGTGCAGTGGCACGATCTCAGCTCACTGCAACTTCCGCCTCCCGTGTTCAAGCGATTCTCCTGCCTCAGCCTTCCGAGTAGCTGGGATTACAGGTGCCCACCACCACACTCAGCTAATATTTGTATTTTCAGTAGAAACAGGGTTTCACCATGTTGGTCAGGCCAGTCTCGAACTCCTGACCTCATGTGATCCGCCCACCTTGACCTCCCCAAGTGCTGGGATTACAGATGTAAGCCACCGTGTCCAGCTGTAAATACGTTCAAAAGAGCTCAATTTTACCGGCGAGGTGACAAGCAGGGTAAAGTTCTTGTTAGAGAATAACTAGCACTTGTGTCCAGGTATAGTAGTGTGACTATAAGAGTTGATAGAAATGATGATCACTCATTAAATAAAGGCAACAGTAAATATAAATACAAGTTGTTCAAGGTTTCATATTTTTAAAAAAGATGAAGACAAAAGAAGAAATTGGAGAGAAACAGGTAGATTTTGTAGCATAAGTAAAGATAAAAAGGGGGAGAGAAGCAGAAAGGATAACCATTGGGTACTGGGTTTAATACCTGGGTGATGACATACTATGTAAAACGAACCCATGTGACACATGTTTACTTATGTGACAAACCTTCGTATGTACCCCAAACCTAAAATAAAAGTTAAAAATAAAAAAGAAAAGCAATTGAGTAAAATAATAATTTTGTATATTTATATACATATACAACATATATATGCGTGTATATACATATATGAGGGAGAAAGAAATGTCACATTGTTATAAACCAATGAAATTGGAAATAAAGTATTAAAAAAACAAGTTTTTTATTTTATTTAACATAATCGTATCTGCTTAGAAATGAAAAAACACAATACTTGATAAATCTTGGATCAAAAAAGAAAATGCCCTCAATTTATAAAGCTACAGAGCAAAGAATGCATCTACCAGAATTTATATGACATAGCAAAACTATACTTAGAAAATTGATATTGCCTTAAGTGTCTTTATAATTAAAGAAATTTTCTGTATTAAAATTTCTATCAGATTATAATTGTAAATATTTTAAATTGAATCAAATTCAAACAATATCCGTTAAGATTCATGATTTTCTGTTTTAATATTTAAAGGTAATCAGCTCCATCAGTTGAATAATTTCAGCAAGAGTTTTTTCTTAAGGCAAAAGAAAAGGCATTGATAAAAATTCAGGATAGTAGAGTTTTGTATGAAAGCTGACATTCATTAGAATGTTAAAATCAGAACTCTTTACTAACTGGATAACTTTGTAAGTTTGTATTGCCCATTATGGACTTTGTATTGTTTCCTTTCTGTGGAACATCCATTCAATTTAAAATGAATCCAGTGGGGTACTCAAGCACAATAACAATTTTGCAATATACGTCAATGTTATTATTAATGTTTATGTGTGCAATGAGTTCACCTATCATTTTATTAGCTAAGCTGTAATTTTAAACATACTTCCTGCATATAGCCAAGGAAGGACTTTGATATGTATGTAGTTATATTCCTTCAAGTACACTCTTTCTTCAAAAGCTTTCTAAAACCAGTGCACAAACTAAACATGGCCAGCTGTTAAATGTATCTCTTAAATATTAACTTCTCCAGTTAAAATTAGCACAATACAGGCCTTACACATAAGAAGCTATCTCTGAGATTATTATCGTATACTTAACTACATTGCTAACAATGGATGAGAGCTTAGCAGCTAATAAACCTGCTGTTCCAGCTATAACAAAGGCAAGTTAATGTATTTGAAAGGAGAGTGATAAAATAACCAAGGCATCATAAACCTAAGATAAACAAAATCACCTAGTGGTGACTAATTAACGTAACACATGCAAATCTTCAATATTTTCACTGCTTGAAATCCCTTATAATGAATAATTGTATGAGACATTCATATATAAGGACTTCATTTGATTCTTTATATGAAATAAAGTTTCTTCTTCTGTTATGTGAAAATAAAGCCCACTCAAATGAGAACAAACAAAAGCTATTTATTCAGAGCTTGTTACAGCAAGAGAGTCAGCCACCATCACTTGCGTTTGGCAGAAGCTCACAAGCAGGCAGAGGAGAGGGAAAGCTTCATAGCGGAAAAAATAGAAGGCTTCAGGTGCACCCTGACAAGAGGTTGTTGGCATGGAGAAGCTGGAGGTGGGCAAAAGTAGAAGTGGGACTTCCTATGCGACTGGGTGGGGGAGCATATTTGGCTTTCTTTGGTTGGTTTTAAGGTGGAAGCAGGAGCAAAAATTATGGAAGCTGGCAGTTATTGATTACTTGCATTTTTAGCTGATTGCTACAGAGGTTGTTGTCTGCCTTCCTGGACTGGTTGCTGCAAACTGTTTAATTTTTTAAATATGGTCAGAGTTCTGTTTTAAAATACGGTCTGGTGGTTATCTGTTTGCATATTTAGTCTCTCAGCTCCCATCCTGTGTCTGAAAAATATTACCTCAATAGAATTTGAATTCATAATGGTTTTTAGCAGTATCAGAAGAAACAGACAAGTCTGGCTTCTGAGTAAATATGATCAATCTGATCATCCCTTATTTTATATATTTTCTATAATCATACGAATTCCTTCTTGTGATAATTTCTGCTATCTCCTATAGTATCTAAATATTTTCCAAGCACATAATTTAAACCCATGAAAATGGATATGGAAAGCTAAAATAGTCCTGTTTTATTATAAAGCATGTATATGCATTCTAAAAAAAATTCAGACTATATACAGTCTTGTCTTTGACCAGTATCACAAATAAATTCTTAAGGGCTAAAGCATATGACATGTATTGATGGAGAATGCATTATAGGTGCAGATTTTCAATTCACTTGAATGAAACTTTCAGTAACTTCAGACGTTCAGACCTACACAGATAACTATTCCACGGCCTACAGCCAAAGGGCCAATGTTAGCTTCATAGTAACAAAAACAACCACCACCATAAGGACAATTATTATTACTATTTATGAAACCACTACTGTCATTCAGGGTCTCTGTGTATATTCATATTTAAGTTTATTTAATCTTTGCAACACTTTAAATGTAATGTAAAACAGAAAGATAAGTTATATTGACCCATTCATTCACTCAAAAATTAAAATAGTACTTGAACCATTTTTCTTTGAAATAAATTTAAGTCTATTCATTTCAATTTGTTTGAATTTCAATTCATATAAATTAATGTATTCAGGGGCTCTTGAATGAGTCTGTCTGAGGCCCAAAGACAATTGTTTGACGTGGACGAGTCAGGAGTCAAATCCAAACCTGTCTGCATCCACTGTTTGTGTTCCTAGTCTAATATGTCCAAAGTTTCCTGTGAACTGAGGCTTATTCAAAGAAAATAAATGTTTTAAATTATCGGCTCCAAATAATGATCAAGTTTTTCTACCATTGAAAAGTCAGTGCATAGAGCATATTAAAAAATTAGAAACATCCAAGGACTACAGGTTTATAGTCTTCCATATTTTCTTCTAAACTGATATTTTGTTTTCCAGTTGACACAGAGTAATCTTGACATGCAACTTGAAGATGTTAAGTAGGTATTCATATGAGATATGATGCTGACCAGAAGACAGATGTTCATATGTAGTAAAAAATATATTCCATTATTAAAATGTATCAAATTAGAAAAATCAAAACTCAACCATCTTCATTCCTTGTTGATGGCAGAGAGTAAGAGCACACTCTTTATAAAAGACAACTGAGATGCTCATTTTTAAAAAAGCATTTTTTAAAAGATCATGCATTTTAAAGGTGTTTCCAATTCACAGATCTACCATAAAAAACTTAAAACATGCACAAAAATGTGTTTAGAAAGAGACTTATTGCAATGATATTTATGACTACAATAATATTCTTCAAGTATATAACATAGATATACAATGATAGAAGAATGGTAAATAAAATGTAGAATAGCCAAGTGGGGAAATACTATGCAGTGATAAATACCATGTTTACAAAATCAAATTATATGTTAATATCCGGATATTTTTTGCTGGTTTTGTTTTTCTTTATTGTAGTAATTTCTCTTTGTAAATAGTCACAGTACTTTTCAACATCTCCCTTGAAGAATTGGAGTCCATTTCTCCAACTTCTAGATCTGGGATTGGACATGCGAAAAACTTTTAGAAACAAAAAATTTAGTATTAATACAATGTTTAGAAGTATACATGTAGTATATTATCATTTTGCAAAGTATAAAACATATGAAATAACACTGTGTGGCCAGGCACGGTGGTTCACGCCTGTAATCCCAGCACTTTGGGAGGCCCAGACGGGCAGATCACGAGGTCAGGGGATCGAGACCATCCTGGCTAACACGGTGAAACCCCGTCTCTACTAAAAATACAAAAAAATTAGCCGGAAGTGGTGGCGGGTGCCTGTAGTCCCAGCTACTCAGGAGGCTGAGGTAGGAGAATGGCATGAACTCGGGAGGCGGAGCTTGCAGTAAGCCGAGATCGTGCCACTGCACTCTAGCCTGGGCAACAGAGCGAGACTCCGTCTCAAAAAAAAAATAAAAAAAATTGTGCATTGTTTATGGACAAATGCATAGGTAACAAAATTATTAAATCACAGGTGGGAAAGGTACACAATTACTTAAAAAATGTAGGTATTTTTCTGGTAATAAATGAGAAGGAATAAGGCTGAGAAGTATAAAAGGGATTTCAACTACATTTATAGCTTTTTTTTTTTTTTTTTGAGATGGAGTCTCGCTGTGTTGCCCAGCCTAGAGTGCAGTGGCGCGATCTCAGCTCACTGCAAACTCAGCCTCCCAGGTTCAAGCAATTCTCCTGCCTCAGCCTCCCGAGTAGCTGGGATTACAGGCAGCCGCCACCATGCCCAGCTAATTTTTGTATTTTTTAGTAGAAAAGGGGTTTCACCATCTTGGCCAGGCTGGTCTCAAACTCCTGATCTCATGATCCACCCACTTCAGCCTCCCAAAATACTGGGATTACAGGAGTAAGCCACCATGCCTGGCCCATTTATAGCTTTTAAAATACCAAAAGCATATAAGCTGAATATCATTTTTAACAGACTATTAGAATTGTTATATTAGTTTGTGTGTGTGAAATATGTCTAACATAAATTTAAAAAGACAGTAAACTTAGCTGAAAGACAGAAGGAGGAAATGTGTAAGATGAACATTTGCCAGTCAGTATATGAAACACCAAATGTTTCTCAGATAAGTTTTAACCAAATAGAATGTACGATGGAAAAAAATCTCATTCAAAATAATAACCAAGTATACAGCTCCTGGGGATATTTAACAAGAAATTTTTAAAACACAAATTCTTCAGTCAAATGGTTCTATATAATCTCAAATAAATCTCAGTGGAGATTACTTTGATATCCCACAGTGAGACTAGAAATTTCAGTGATATTGTAGATAGTCACAATAGATAAGATCATTTTCAATAAGAAGAAATAAAAAGAAAGGTTTTGAAATCTCAATAATTAAACAAATATGTTACTGATATAGTTTGGATATTGGCCACATCCAAATTTTATGTTGAAATGTAATCTCTAGTGTTGGAGGTGGGGCCTGGTGGAAGCGGATTGGATCATGGGGTGGATTTCTTGTGAATGGTTTACCACTGTTCCCTTGGTGCTGTCCTCATGAGATCTGGTGTTTTCAAAGTGTGGCTTCTCCCCAACACCCGCTTGCTTATGCTTTCGCCATGTGAGAGACCTGCTCCCCCTTCCCCTTCCGCCATGATTGTAAGCTTCCTGAGGCCTCCCCAGAAGCCGATGCTGCTATACTTCCTGTACAGCCTGCAGAAGTGTGAGACAATTAAACCTTTTTCCTTTATAGATTACCCAGTCTCAGGTATTTATAGCAATGTGAGAACAAACTAATGCAGTTACTTATGCACGGTAATTAATAAAACCTCAATGGATCACGATTCTGAAGAAATACAACTTAGTAAAACTTAGTGCCCTCATTTATAAGAATTTATTTTTATATTTATTAACAATATGTAATAATTAACTATTCATTTCAAATAGCTGAGAAATCAAGTTGATAAATAGTTTGGGGTCAATTAACTAACCTTTAGGCAACTTAAGATGAAGAAGGAAGAAGAGCAACAGCAACAACTAAGTTAAATTTTGAGAATCTCTATTAGACATTTGAATTTGGAATAGCTGGAAGCAGAATCCACCACCCCTTGCTCCTGCCACATTGCAGGTTTCACTCAGATGCAGACAGCACACTTGGGGAAGTAGAAATCTCTGGCCACAGATGCTGCGTGAGAAATTACCACTGGGCCACAGAATCCCTGGAGGAGCCAGCATCAGCTTCCAAAACTGGGAGCTACCCTGTGAGCAATCTGTATACAACACTGGGCCCAGGCGGAAAAGAACTGCCAGAAATAATAACTTCAAACTCCAAAATAAGAGCGAATTCACCAAGGAAAGCAAATGTAAAGAAAGAAATGAACGGACTTAAAAATATCTAATTAGTGTTCATAGTTGGATTTAAGAGAATTGCAGTGATAAAAACAATAGCAACTTGCAAAGAAAGTGAGGCAATCAGAGCAAGAAGCGTTCTTGGAAATAGAAAGCATGATTGCAAAACTTAATAGCTCAGTAATAATTCAGTAACAAAATGGATAGTTCTAGAAACTGAATTTGTGATGACCCACTCTTATTAAAATTATGGGAAAGGGAAAGGCTAAAACACATAGAAAATGGTAAAGTACATGCTTGGCAAAACCAGGCAAGCCAATACCCATTAGCAGCCTATAGAAAGAAAAAAGGATGGAAATTAATAATCGAACTAATTACACATGAGAAATTTCTAGAGCAAAAGGAAACACTGGGACCTCTTATTCCCGCATACACATCCTATTAGAATTTTTGAATTCCTATGTTAAAAATGAAGCGCTACAAACTTTCAGACATACAGATGTATACATGCAAAAAACACAGCACTGAAATAAACAAAAATAGCGAACATACGAATAAGAAAAAAAAACCAGGTTTACAAAGGAAAGCGAATCACAATAGTTGTGTGGCTCTGATCTGTAGTACCACATCACTATGTGAACAGTTGAGAAAAAAATCATTGCAAAAATTCTCAAACTATCATTTAATTGGGAAGACAAAAGCAGGTTGTTAGAGAATATAAATCATATTCTCATTTCTTTTTTTTTAAACTACGTACATTGAAATGTCTTAGAGTAGATATGGATTATGGGGAAATTTAACTTTTTGGACTTTTTTAACAAATGTATAAAGAACTCTGTTGTTCACAAATTGGTATCATACTGTGTGTCAACATGGATGGAGTCTCAGTTTGGGCCAAGCATCGTGATTTTCCTGACTTTAAGGAGGTCCTCTTCCATTATGGCAGACAGGAAACAAACAGTGCAAAACCAATGAGCACACATGGTGAGAAAGATCACCTATACGTGGTTTCACGGGGCTATATTTGCAGGCTCCTAACTCAGCCAAATAAACGTGTATGGGGACTATCACTATAGATAAGTCTTAAGGAAAGAGCAGGATTTAGCCAGCTCACAGGAGTGGAGGAAGCGTTCCAGGCAGAAGGGAAAACATGAGGCAAAAACAACACATTGTGTAGGAGGAAAGAAGTAGGACAACAAGCTGAGCAGTTGTCAGAACGTTTTAAAAAATGAGTCATTGCATTAAAAGAAATGAGGCTGAAGGGGTTAGTTATGCTCAAATCATAGAGGGTCTTATAAACATACGCCAGATAATTGAAAGCATTTTGCAGAGCCAGAGCATAGATTTTCAATTTTTGGAAGTAAAATAACCCTTTACTCAAACAGTATCTACCTAGAGATCTAATATAGAAAAATGTGAAAAAAAAACCTTACAAGTTTAATTATATGAGCTACATTTGATGACATCAACTAACATAGTCAGGCATTAGATGCAATGAGGCCACTGCAATGAATCCCCAAAATCATACATTCTGCATATAATTTATTTTCAAGTTTAATTTTACTTGCACAACATAAAAAGAGTTTGAAATTATAGAGACATATTTTCAAATGGTCACTCAATTTAAACAGAAGTAGCAAAAAAGGCATTATTCTGGGATCTGGAGAGAAAAAGAGAGTGAATGCTAGGAATAATAGCAAATATAATAAGCTGACCAGTGATGAGCCATTTAGGTGAACTCTCTGAACAGGCTAAGTATTTGGTAGCATTTCTTCAGGATTTGCATGATGTTTATTAATGACAGAGGGCTGTTGATTTTCTTTTAGGAAACACTGTATTTCTTTGTATTCAAAATTGTTCATTAGCTAGTCAGAAAATCCAACTCTCAGCATTTAAGCAAAAGGGAGAAGCCAAGAGAAGATATGAGGGCTCACAGAATTGCAAAGAGGATGGAAAAAGCTTGGAAAATGCACAGGAACCAAGATAACGCTAAAGTTCCAAAACCAGAACTCTACTTTCATCAGGGAGAGTCTAGCCAGGATGCAAACCACGTGTTGCATGGCAGTTTCCACTTCAGAGACACTATAGCCATTGCCACTGACCATTACTAACCATCCCAGCATGAATGTCTTTTAGCTGAGCTCAGGTCCTGGGCCCATCCTGGTTCCTTGCAGATGGGGAGAAGGAATATCTTGCTCCTGGGGCTTTTGCAGTGGGAAGGTAGCAATGGCTACTGACAAAGAATGGGAAGATTTGGCTTAAAATTTAGAAAGTAGAAGTCAACAAATTGCAGAAAAAAGAGATATTATGGAACTTCCTGATAACTCAGAAAGGAATGGTGGTGTTGTGTCTTCTGCGAATAGCACGGGTTCATCTTCTGTTCCCTCCACAACACCTTAGAGAATTCACAGGACATCAGATGGAGGTAGCTGCTGGACAGTCTATGAAGACTGGCTAGCAGGTGACTTTTCCTCTAGCCCGTACAGTGGAGAAATACCCAAGGTTGGTAGAGAGTGGAAAAACACCTGTCTTCATGGGGCATGGTCATTCTGACGACACACTAGTGTGCACTAGCAATATGTTATTACCAATATGAACTGAATTTCAGGGGAGGTCCTTCCTTGAAACTTCTGTACTCCAGAAAACTCTTGAACATCCCTAAGGCAGCAACTCAGTGGGTGAGTAAAGCAGATTAAGTGAGATGTAGAGAAAGAAACAAATAATCATAATTTCAAAATAGTCATAGCACTTTATGCCTTCATTTATTCCTCCTATCCCCCCATGTAGTATGTACTACTAGTATTATCCACCATTTTACATGTGTTAAATATGAAGGAACCAAGAACTAGTGGGATTAAGTAATATGTCCAGAATTACACAGTTAATAAAGAGCAGAAGCAGATGTGACATCCAGGTAGCTTACCTGAAGTCTATGTTTGTAGCCTATATGCTGAACTTATTTCGCAGGGTTAACACTAAACTTGATATCAACTACATTTGCATAAAAAAGATTATTTTTTTCATTGCTCACAACTTAAAAGCATTGGTTACTCATACTCATGAAGAAAGTGGCTAACAATTCTCAAAGCTTTGTTTAATAAACATGTAATTCTTTCTGTTTTGTGTGAGAAAATATTTTGCTCTATTCTATTGTTCTTGTTTTCTCTTTCAAGTTCTTTTGCAATTTTCTAATCAAATATCTTCTTGAACAAGAGATTAAGGATGTGAAAAATAACTAGAGATAAAGAAATAAATTGCTTATTCTTAGAAAAGACTACAGGGAAGTGGATTTGGTTTAGAATTCATGGTGATGGGGTAATCAACATCATGAGACTCTTGGCAGAAATTTACTTATTTGCTTTGTCATTTATTTTGAAATATTCAACATAGTTCAATATATAACATAAAATTTCATGAAAACTCATGTTTAAATATGAATTTATTAGTGATTACCTCATATTCTCAGTCTACCTCATGTTCTCAAAAACTGTGCTAGCCGACAAAATTTCTCACTATTTGGAGGAACCAGGCAACATCCCCCGTATTGTCTAGGTCTCATATCTCGAGATCATCTTGCTGTAACACAGTGAATTTTTGGATCCCATTTATTTTATTTTAAAAATAAGGCTGGTGTTTGGGGTTAGTTTTACTCTATATTTTAGAGGTGGTTAGTTAACAACTCCAGTGTTACTTACATAAAAGCCCGTTATTCAGAAATTTACAATTCAAATATAGTTACTCTAAGTGTAAGGCTGTCTTTAACAACTTAGGTTAACTACTTAGTTGTGTCAATTAGCATGACAATATTAAAAAATATCCAAGAGATGTCCATTGACTAGAAAATTTAAGATTCCCACTCTACCAACAATGCATTGAGCTCAGCCCCCTGTACATTCTGGAGCAGGTTTAGGATTCAGAAGTAGACCTGTATTAGCAAATAATCAGACATTTCTTCTGCCTGACCTGAGATTTAACTGAATTCTGTTGCTAAGATGCTTCACATTTGTCTTGAGTGAGTGTTTTGTGCACAGTTCAAAGACAGAGAGCTCTGACTTCAAGTTTTCAGATGTGATCAGACAATCCCTTTTGTAATTTCTGCTAATAGATGGTTTTATACGTGGTAGCATTGGGTCTGAGATTTGCCTTCATTTTGGCACCTACTATTGGTGACAGAGTCAGAAGGTTAGAAACCCAAGCACCTGCACTATTCACAATAGCAAAGACTTGGAACCAACCCAAATGTCCAACAATGATAGACTGGATTAAGAAAATGTGGCACATATATATCATGGAATACTATGCAGCCATAAAAAATGATGAGTTCATGTCATTTGTAGGGACATGGATGAAGCTGGAAACCATCATTCTCAGCAAATTATCGCAAGGACAAAAAAACCAAACACCGCATGTTCTCACTCATAAGTGGGAATTGGACAATGAGAACACTTGGACACAGGAAGGGGAACATCACACACTGGGGCCTGTTGTGGGGTTCAGGGAGTGGGGAGGGATAGCATTAGGAGATACACCTGATGTAAATGATGAGTTAATGGGTGCAGCACACCAACATGGCACATGAATACATATGTAACAAACCTGCACGTTGTGCACATGTACCCTAGAACTTAAAGTATAATTAAAAAAAAGAAACCCAAGCACCTCAGCTACCTCTAAAAATCGGGGAATGTTCATATCCAGTAAAAATAACCAATAATTGGGAATAACCAAATCAGCTACATAAGTTTGTCAGAGGAATGTGGTTGGGTCATACACTTCACCTGGGCCCATTGTAAAAATATTTAACAAAGATACATCAGTACCAATGAAAATTAGGTTTTTGCTGCTGTTGTTTTGCTTTGTTTGTTTTTGTTTTATAGCACTTTGGGGAAAGAAGAACAAATTTACATTTTGCCGATGATCTAAACATTTTCTTCTATCATAAAGTTCCTATACTTAGTACAAAGCTCTTAATGCTCCTTAAATGAAACATCGTGAGCAGCCATATGGTGACCTGCCCCTTAACCTAGCACCAATTTTGAGGGGTTAAAAATAAATTTTATTGAAACATTTTTTATCTTTCTAAAAAGATATAGAACAGGAAAACTATTTTAAACTAAAATTGTAATGGAACATTGGCAGAATCCCTGAAGCACCTGCATGCAATGAACAGTCTGAAAACTGCTAGTGTAGGTGAAGGGAAACTAGCAAAGGATTATACGGAAGGGAATGGCACTGTCAGATTTACATTTGAAAGATAGTTCTGCATCTGTGGGAAGAGCAATTCTGATGAGAAAAATACTGAAAACACAGAACTCCATTAAGAAGGCAAAGATGAATTAGAGCAATAGTGGTAGGAATGAAGAGAAGCTGGATTGAAAGATTATGTAGGAAGTAAAAGCTGCCAGGATTTAAGTCATTCTACTCTCTTCTAGTCTCATTTGTAGTCTTTCCAAAAAGCCATTAGATTAGCTATTTCCACTAAAACTGGCTAGATGGTATAATAGTGAAGAACCCGGACCTTTATTTAAATCCCAGATCTGGAACTTACTAACTCTGTGATGCTGAGCAAATTACTTAACCTTTTGGTCCTCAATTTCCTCATCTGGAAAAATGGGAATAATAATTTCTACCTCACAGGTTTAATAGTAGAGATAAAAAGGAAAAAAGAGTCTATGCTAAAAGATTACAATAGTGCCTAGCTAAGCAAACAGTAAACGGTTACTTTTTTTTAACTCAAGAAAGAGGCAGTTTAAGAGAGGACAATAAAAGAAAAAAAGGGCTGGGCGCAGTGGCTCACGCCTGTAATCCAAGCACTTTGGTTGGCAGAGATGGGCGATGAACTGAGTTCAGGAGTTGGAGACCAGCCTGGCGAACATGGTGAAACCCTGTCTCTGCTAATAATAAAAAAAAATTGGCTGGGTGTGGTGGCGTGTGCCTGAAATCCCAGCTACTTGGGAAGCTGAGGCGGGAGAATCGCTGGAACCTGGGAGGCGGAGATCGCGCCACTGCACTCCATCCAGCCTGGGGGCCAGAGCGAGAGTCTGCCAAAAAAAAAAAAAAAAGGTATGTTAATGGTCTAGATGGATATATTAAATAACAGCGTAAGAATTAAGCAGTATTGCCGAAAGGAAATCAGGCTGTGTAAAAGAGAGTAAGTGAAATGAGTAAAACAGTGTTACTTTTATTTGGTTGTGCTTGATTCAACCTGTTTATTACCAAGTGAAATTTCGTGGATAGCAGAGACTTCATCTGCAAAAATAAAATAAAATAGTGAAAGGTGAGAAGATGAAGAAAATAGATGTGCCAGTGTGAGATTCTTCACAATTTGCAAAAGGAATGATTCTCACTGGCAAGTTAGCTTGGGTTTGTTAGCGAAGGAAAGGCGGATCGGATGAGTTGTGCAATAACTGGCTGTTTGACTGAAGCAGAAGCAGCTGAATGCAGCTTTCCTGTTACATGACTTCCTGCAGGTCATCATCTCTGCATCTCCCTGGGTGCAAAGGTAGAATTCCTCCTGTGAAAAGCCAGGATAAGCTTTTCTCTGGCCTCTCTAATTAGGACTGAGAATGAAATAAATTATCAGACTCCTCTGGAACTCCCATTAGATGTCCTGTGAACCTTTAATTCCTCTTGTGCTTCCGAGCCCGGATTGGAGCAAAGAAGACATATGTCCATGCATGAAATCAAGTTTTTGTACACTCTAGAAGTATCTACTTGGTAGCATGGATTGTTTCCACTAAAATAGTTGGAGCCGCTGTCCTAGCATCCTTTTTCTGTTTGTAATTACAAGCAGCCAGTTTCCCCTAGGGAATAAATTCTCACTTTTTTGACCATTTTATTAACATACATTTTTGTCATCTAATAACACTTTTGTCACACAATATTAATGATAAATTGTGCTGACCTTGAATATCACCAAAAAACCAGACAACCTGGGTTTTTTGTTTTTTTTTTCTGACAGTGGTGATAAATTTTCACTACTTTTTAAATTTTATTCATTTATTTATTTTTGAGTTCATCTCAGTCCTGGAATCAAGTAAATCTGGTTTATTGAGAAATTCTACATAATGTCATTTTGACAGAGTGGCAATGGGTTTTCACATTACTTCTAAAACTTATTCTCAATGGTTTTATATCAGAATATAATCCCTAGTGTGACTAGAATTTAATAGGAAAGCAACACAAACAACTGTCCCTGTTTTTTTTTCTCAATCCTAGCTCACCTTCCGCTATGCCAGGAAATGTCTCTGGATGCCTTCCAACACAGTGATTTATGATTTGATTGATTTATGATCCAATTGACTTATCAATCAAAGTTGCCACGTAAGACTAAACATAATATGCCATCCAGTCCTAGGCTGAAAACTTTCTACATGGTCCCGAGCTTGGGCAATTCTTCAGTTGGGCTGAGATGGCTGAAAATGTCTGATACAGGGCTTCTCTTTTATAAAGTATAAAGGAGTTTATTCATAAATGGTTAGTTTCCCAGTAAGAGTACAGATTCTACACTCCCAAAGTAAATGGGTACTCTAAACACAATTCTCTTTATTTATTTATATTTATTCTAACTAAAAAGCCTCTTTCATAACTTTCTTTCAGCAAACATTTATTGACATCCTTAAAAGTGGCAAGCACTATTCCAGGCACAATGATCATCACAGGCAAAAATCCCTTCCCTCATGGCAATTACATTGTAGTTAAATTGTGGGGACACAGTCAGTAAACAAATAAATGGAGTAAATTCATATAATGGCAGATGCAGATAGTGCTATGGAGAGAAATAAAACAGAGAAAGAGACTAGGGAAGGGTTGTAATTTTAAACAGTGTGACCTAGAAAGTGTGAACTTAGCAGACACATTTGAGCAAAGACTTGAAAGGTGTTGAGAAGCAAGCCTTGAATTGTCTTTTAAGTAGAGGTCACAGCAAATTCCTCCCACGTGTCTGATATTGTGTTCTGTGAAGGAGGAACAGTGACAACACCCGCCAGTGTGTCCAGAGGGCAGGAGCCAAGGGCAGAGTGGGCAGAGATAAATGCAGAGAACAAGCAAATGAGAGGGAAAGAAAGACAACGTGGAAAGACAGGAGGGAGAGGAGGTTTGAAAAAGATCAGAGACCTATCTGCTTGGAGCCTGTTAGGATGGGGCTACGTATTAGTCATATCCCAGTGGAATGGTAAAAAGACTGCAGGAGTTCAGGGCAGAATGCAGGAAGCAATGCTCCCAGAGGGAGAGCTGAAATTAGCATCATGCTCAAGCCTGAGCCAGGCAGAAGTGACCCAGATGGGATTTAAAGCTCCTTCCTTCTGGACTCAGGAGACTGAGGCAGGAGGATCACATGAGCCCAGGAGTTCGAGGCTGCAATGTGATACGCTTCTGCCTGTGGATAGCCACTACACTCCAGCCCAGGCAACATAGTGAGACATCGTCTCTAAAATATAAATAAATAAAATAATACAATAATAAACACATAAGTAAATAAACATCTTCCTTCTGCAGGAAGGAATAAATGATTGGAGGAGGCAGAGACAGCCTGGTGTTAGAAGACCTAAAGTCACTATAATAAAATACCATCTCTAAAATACAAACAAATAAAATAATGAAAAAATGAATAAATAAAAATCTTTTTTCTGCAGGAAAAAAAAATTATTTAATGGGAGAAGACAGAGAGCACCTGGTGTTGAAAGACCTAAAGTCAGCTCTGAGGAAATAATGGGTGGGAGGTAGTTAACGTTCCAGGTGAAGGGGGAATCTACATGAAAA
The DNA here is from genome assembly GCF_000001405.40 of Homo sapiens. Taxonomy (NCBI): domain Eukaryota; kingdom Metazoa; phylum Chordata; class Mammalia; order Primates; family Hominidae; genus Homo; species Homo sapiens. The sequence continues at coordinate 239,125,802 of NC_000001.11, forward strand.
AAAAAAAAACCTCATTTGAATAGATGTAGAGCCCAATCCCAATCCTAATGCAGGAAAAGGAAGTACATTTGTTATAGCTATAGCCTCTGTACTTCTCATTATATTGCTGTGGTTTAAAAAACAAAAACAACAAACAAACAAAACAGAAACACCTGATTCTTCAGCAAGACATGATTTGATATGTATCTGTTATCTGGGAATACTAGTGAGGTAGAATGTTCAAAGGAAAGGACATGAAGCACTTCCAAAGCATCCTGTGAGAGCTCCAGTACACACAGGGCTAAAGACATGTAAATTAGCAGCTGGAGTGACCACATATAGACCATTCATCAGAGTGAGGCATGAGAGGAGAGTGGCAGAAATAACCTACCCTCCAGATTTAAGGGCAGAAAATCTGGATTCCCTGATGATCCCCCAACATGTCAACAGTAAGACACTTAGACACAGAAAAGGCAGAGTGCTGCTCTTGCTGTTACAATAAATACAAAAGTTAAGCTTCAACTAAATTCCTTCCCTTTGTTTCAAAGAGCAGTATACAGAAATCCTTTCAAGAGTCCAACTCATCCTCAAGTCCACCAGTGTAAATTTCATAATGTGTCAGGATCAAAATAATTTTTCAGTCTTCTCAGTGATTGACCCAAAATCTACAATAATCAGGAATACGTTCTGTAGCAATTAAGTCTGTATTTATACATTGTTTTATGAAAATGAAGCCTCTTTCTTTTTGGTCAGGATCTGTCATTCTGATCATCCTTGGGTGAGAATTGGGAGGGAGCAAAATGGTCCATGCCATGGAACCCTATTATGAGAATGACCACATAGAAGGGTAGTTCTTAACCTCCTGGGAATCAAAGACTCAGTTGAGAATATGCTAACTACCATGGACATCTGATTAAAAACACAGAAAATAAAATACTTGGCACCTATGAAGAGATAGAAGTTTGCATTTTCAGGAGATTCATAGTTATTTTTCCGAATGTCTCATTAAATGAAAGGTCCCACAGTCGTCCCGCTAGGGGAGAGCAAATTAAAATAAAATCAAGACCCAAGCTTCCCACCTTTCATGATCTCCACTGCTTCCTGCTGTCTTTTTTGTGGATACAGGGGTGTTAAAGTGTCATTGTTTATAAACCTACAATAAAATGCAGAGCCCTCACTACATTTCTAAACCTGAAAAACTACCTAGATTTTAAGCAAGGGAATTATTCTCTGCACATCTTCTTTTTAAAAAACTGTTTAGTAATGATGCTTCATGTAAAGCAGCTGCCGCCTCTCACAAAGAAGCCTCCACAGTGTTGCTGGATGAGTCATGAGTCATACATGAATATGGAATTAGCAAAATGATCATTTGCTCAATTGTCAAGGCCTGTCTCTGTAGAATGAACGCCTATTGTGAAAGTGCAAAATTTCTGTGAAAATACCAAAAGGAGGAGAGTTGCTTTTATATGGGGTAGGAATATTGGACGCATCCTTGCTCAGGCTCAGGTAAAATAATATATACACCACCCTATAAGGAATGCAAAAGAAAACTGTTGTTTTGTTGTTGTTGTTGTTGTTTTTAGTTATCAGTAAAGTACAGTTAGTTCTTCTCCGTAACTCCTGGGAAGTGTACTTTGAAACCAGAGGCACCCATTTCAGTATAGAGGAACCTTTCAGAACCTTCTACCTTCTACCAGTTTCTCCTCAGGGATTAGTTAAATTGGGGTTAGGGACAGACAGATGAGAACAGGGGGTGGGGCCTTTTGGGTGGTGATTAGGCCACAAGAGTTGAGCTCTCAGGAATGAAATTAGTATCCTTATGAAGGAGATCCTAGAAAGTCCCCTCATCCCTTCCACTCTGTGAGGACACAGTGAGAAGGCTCCCTCTATGAACCAAAAGTAAGCCCTCATCAGACACCACATCTGCCAGTGCCTTGATCTTGGACTTCCCCGCCTCCATAGCTGTGAATAATTTTCTGTTGCTTATTACTATCAGGTTTATGGTATTTTTTTTTATAGTAGCTTGGAAGGACTAAGACAAGGCCTATATGAGACACCTTCGTGGGAACTCGGGTAAGTCATCCTTCACAGAAGAGTGAAAGATATGGAAAATGTCCCAACTCTAGTGAAAAGAGGGAAGTACCTCAAAGCTTTCAATATTTAGAAATATGTATGTGCTTATATCATTAGAAATCAGTCTTTGAGGCTTAGAAAAGAGAATGTTCATTAATATAAACCTGAAAGTTGTCAGAATGTACATTTATGCTTTTTCTGATGAACATTATAAAATAGCAGGAGAGTAACCTTCTCAGCATTTTAAAAAACGTTATTCCTGATAAACATTTTTTTCCTAGAGAAACATGTCTCTTAAATGGTAAACACTAAGATAGTGGGAGAATAAATTATTTCCAAATTACACAGTTATGTTCAAAGCCTGGAGAGGTAATATTTTTTCTTTTTTTTTTTTATGTTTCACTTTTTTGAGATGGAGTCTTTCTCTGTCGCCCAGGCTGGAGTGCAGTGGCATGATCTTGGCTCACTGCAAGCTCCACCTCCTGGGTTCTTGCCATTCTCCTGCCTCAGCCTCCAAGTAGCTGGGACTACAGGCACCCGCCACCACGCCTGGCTAATTTTTTGTATTTTTAGTACAGACAGGGTTTCACTGTGTTAGCCAGGATGGTCTCCATCTCCTGACCTCGTGATCCACCCACCTTGGCCTCCCAAAGTGCTGGGATTACAGGCGTGAGCCACCGCGCCCGGCCTATTTTCATTTTTTAGTCAGTGTGGAAGGCAATTTCAGAGGCATACTTCAAATTACTCCATAGCTTTACACTGTTGAGATGAAGACCACATGCTAATGAGAACTTAACAAATGCAGTGTAATAACAGCAATGCGCTCATGAACATATGTGATTTTAATCCCTTCTTAAGTATTAAAGTGTACAATCTGTAGATAACGGTTAAGATTCTAGATTTAGGTTTGGATTTAGACAGTTGAGATTTTAGAGGGTTACACTCTGCTTTCCAGTTTGTGCTATTCTAAGCTGTTTAGTTTATCATTTCTATGACATTCCAAGTCAAACGAGGACAGCTTGATTTTGCTGATAGCTGATGAAACTGTAAAATGCTGCATAATTAGATAGAAGGGAAGTATCTATTTAAGAAGGAAACTAAACATCCAGGAAGTTATTCTATGAGGGGGAAAAAGTGATGTGAAAAATATTTTTGCCCTGTTACCAGACTTTTCCAAGAATTTAGATTTAGCTTTTGTTTACAGCATGGTTTGACATTCCTGGATGTCTTTATATAATTGACTTAAGTAATTGACATTTGAATCGTACTTTCTAGGTATGAAACTGCTTCACACATACTGACTCCTTTAGTACTCCAAAATAATTGTAAGAAAAATATTGCCATTACTCAGTTTAATAATAAAGACACTTGAGCTTCCACAAGTTAGATTATTTTCCCAAAGTTATACAGGATAAGTGGCAAAACTGGGAAGTAAATTCAAAAATATTTTGTCTTTTCCCCACTATCATACTGACTTTAGCTTGAGAATGTCTAAGACTGAAAATGAGGAGTCAGTCATCTTGATTTGTCTAAAATCTCCTGACTTGTATCTCTGCGGCAGTCTCCTCACACAAACTCCATCCCTCCTACATACTGGTGATTCATAAAGCAGAAGCAATCAAGTCACTACCTACTCAGGAGGCTGCTAGCATCTTAGCCCAGGAATCAAGGCTTTTAAAATACAGCCAAATCACATCTTCAGTAATCGTTACAACAGTTATAGCAATTGCTTACACAATGTTCCTATTTATTATGTGCAAGACACCATTCCAATAATTTTGCATATATTATCTCATTTAATCCTAACAACAATGACAACAAAAACTCATGAGGAAGGTACTATTAGGACATCAATTTTCCAGCAGAGGAAATATGGAAATCTGGAAAATGAAGTCACTTGTTCAGGATATCCTGTCTTCCCTTTCACTGGGTTCATGATATACTGCCTTTTCTTTCCATTAACAAGGTGAGAAATAGAAGGGTTGGGGGTGTACAGCACCTGGATATGAAGCACTATCTGTAGTTGGGAGGGGAAACTGAGGACTGTAGGTGTGATGCATTACGGAATTTGGGATGTTTCATAAATTTATCCTACAGTGAAAGGGAAAGCTTAGAGAATGACAAGTTATGCAAGAAAATGCTATTCTCAGAGACCAAGAAAGGCACAGTGGATGCAAGATAATCACATTGTTAATAAATTGGGATACCACACAAATTAGTGTATATGACCACATCCAGCTAAATGCTGATTATACCAAAGACTTCTGAAATATACTAAAGATGTAAAAGTTGGAAGGGCAATTAAGTAAACACAAAAGAAAAGAGAAGAAATGGAAATGGAAATTGGAATATTGTTCAAGCGAATTTACATAATTAAACCAACTATGTACTAATTATATGAAACACTTCTGAAATATACTGCATGTTTAAAAGGAAAAAAAAATGTAAATAGCAAACAGATGAAACAAGAATAGAAATACCAAACTGCATTGATATAAAAGGAAGAGGTTTGTTACTGAAACCAAAACTGCTGTTTTGTCCTGAGTGATGGAATACAATGTTTATGACTAGAGGAATACTCTCTTTGTGCTGCTTTCAAAGCCGTATTTCAACTGGAGAATGGAAGAGAAAGACACTGAAAAGATGGCTCCCTCCGTAGTGGAGCAGTTTAACTAGCTTTTGTGCAAGATAGGACTAGGGAATCCCAGAGCTGATTTGGGAGGTATGAGATAAAAAGAGATTTATCTGAATTGGAAAATAAGGGAAATTTGTTGTTCATTCTTTGTTATTTCTTAGTTCCAAGAAGGAGGAGGAAGATAAATATCGAAAATTAAATTTACCATGTTTCTCTTTGGACTACATAAATGTCCTTGTTCATCTCTAAGTTCTCAGTAAAACACAACACAGATAAACCCTCACGTGTAAGTCTCTCGGTATGTGGGGTTCTGAGTGTGTGACTCTGTGTGTATGTTTGTGTGTGTGTGTTTGCATTTAGTGCTCCAGGTGACCATTGGTTAAATCCTGAAGTATCCAAACACCTTCCAAGCTTCTCAGGGTTTTCTCATTTCTCTTAGGCAAATACTATATTTTTAAGTGTGACCACTAACTATTATTTTCAACTATGTCACATGAACAGCTTTGTGCACTTTCTTGGAATATAACTTTCATATACTGTTGGAGATGAAATGCGTAATATGTGCAAAATTCATCTGAGAAATCTCTGTCCAAATCTGTAACATCGATGCTACAAAAAAGCAGAAAATGTACTTATTACGTTGCCTCAATAAAATATTGTAAAAATATTATTAACCTTACCATGGCCAGTAATTTCTGCCTAAAAAGATTATACAGGAGACAGAATACCCTTTCCTTTTAATACACATTCCCAGTTTTGAGAAACGCCCCTTTGCAATCATGCATACTTCCCCAAACTGGGTCTAAATCATTAATGATTCACCTAAATTATTAACACTCTCGAGAGATCGAAAAACATTACACACCAACAGTAAGCGGTAAAGGCCATGTTAGCTTAGACACCTTGACACACAGACATAGAAAATGCTTATAGTTTCAGTTCTATAATTTCAACCAAAAATAAATATAAGAACACAGCTACTCACCTGTCGAGATATGAAATAACTTTTCTTCTTCCTAATGGGCGAAAAAATTCTTAATTGATTTCAGCTACAATAGAAAAATAAGCCATCAAGCTAATAAATAACAAAACAGACTCTATGTCATCTCTCATCCAAGGGATAAAATATCTCCATAGACTATTAATCCATTTATAGTGATCAACAAATATGCAGACGATAAAATCTAATTCCTAATCATTGCTGCCACCAATGAGGAATAATAACTTATCAGCCTTTAACAAATGAAAAGCAAAAACAAACCACAAAAATATTGGAGAGAAGAAAGAAAATTTTGAAAAATAGAGTCGACAAAGTTCTACTGTCACATTGGATCTATCATAAGGAGGTTTATTCTCTTCATGAACTACACCACTTCTCTGGTGATGAAGTTTATTTGGTTCTGTCAGGTGAATCTGTCAAGCATTTTGGTGGAAGACCTCCAAAATTACATACAGTTACAATATCTAAGCATTGGGATACCAGTACACAAATAGAAAAACAGTTCAATGAAAGATGAAATAGTCTCAAAGCTTCCATAGAGTATGTAGAATAATTTAATACAGGCTTACAGAGGCACCACACATCACTAGAAACAAATAAGGATTTTTCAATAAAAGACTCTGAGAGAATTAGTTATTTGGAAAGAAAATAAAATTAAGTCATAATCTTATACTTGTGCTAGCACAATAGAGTCCAAATATATCAAATGAAAAAAAATGAAAAAAATCAATCACTTTAATAACTACCAGAAAAAAAATAAGATGGTCATATTTGCACTGTTTGGGGAAAGACTTTCTAACATTTTATTTTAAAACTCAGATACAGAGATTAGATTATATGGTACTGTTGGTCTGTAGTCCGTTCTCATAGCTGACCACTTTAAAGCTCTCTTTTTGCCTCATTTATTGCTTGAGCTGATGTTCATGTCTCCTATCCACTCTCTTTCTACTCCTCTCATAGAGGACCATTTTGCTGTTCTTAAATGTTTGCTATTTTCTGTTTATAGGTGTTCATTATATACATCTGTTTTTAATTTTCATAAATATCATCATGTTATGTATCTTATTCTACATTTATATTTTATGCTTTTAAAATCCCTCATGTTGCTGTGTTTACAATTATAACTGCTTCAAACTGCTGCATAATACTTCATGGTCAGCAGACATGGAGGGTTTTAATGTTTTGTTTTTGCTTTTGGTTTGTTAAAGGCCATTAGATTATGAATCCTCATTGGTTGTAGCAATGAATGGGGTTTTGGGTCTTTGGTCTGATTATTTCACGATCACTATAAATAGGTTAATGGTTTATAGATATCTTTTATTCCTTGGGTGAGAGATGACAGAGAGTCTGTTTTGTTATTGATGTGTTTTATTCCCATTAGTTTGTCCATGTCTTATTGGACAAAGCTAGTGCCATGGCCAGGTGCAACATCAGTGTATAAGGAAATAGTTCTCTCACTTAACTGAAAAACTAAAAGGCTGAAATCAATCACCCAGTCTGCCATAGAAGATATTTAAGGCAACATTAAAGTTGTCGGGAAACTTCTTGGCATTTCAGTAACTTGTTTAACAGATACATCTGAAACAACTGGTAGCAGAAGAGTATGGAAAGTTACAGGGGCTGAGAGAGAAGAAAAAGAACAGGCTGGGAATGAAATTAGGGTTAGGATAGATGACTAGAGGTGTTTTCCCTAGGATAAATATTCTAGATCATTCAGAAGATGAAGAAATGCATTTTGAGCAGTGTACAGGAGCCAGTCAATTGAACTAATGGATATCATTCCCCCAATTTTTCCTATTGAAAAATGTAATAGATTGGAGAACATGAAAAAAATTCAAGCTGGTAAAGGTAAATACCCTTTATTTCAAATTCTTTCCCTTCAAGCAAAAATGCTTAAGAGACTTTTTACTGCCCCTTTAAGAATCCCACAGTCTTTTGAGAGTTAGGAACACTGGAGCCTAAAAGACTCCCCTAGCCTGAGGGAGCTCCATTGTTATAGCATGTGAGGAGCAGTATGCAAGTTATTCTAGCTTTACACCTTTACCTCTGGATAATGGTCCTATTAATAGAATTATGCTGAATAAAATATAAAACAGTTGAAATGAATGACTATGTCTTAATTAAAAAGACATTTTTATAAAAGCACTCACCTCCACATTGTTCCTTAATCGGAAAAGGCAATTAGCCACATTTTAGAACATTTCTAATTAATCAGAATTTCCATGATATTAACTTCTTCATAGTTTGAGCTTGTATCTGGTAAGATTCATTCATTTTTAAACCTGAGACTCATTCATCTACATATATAAATGAGAGTTGGTCATTTATAACACTATTTTCTATTCATGCTTGCTCACAGATTCTATATGCCAGTAGATCTGCTCCTGAATGAAAGCATATTTAATCAGTACATCAGCAATGCTACATTTCCGTTCACAGCAGAGCAAATGAGATTCCAAGCCTATCTTAAAAAAAAATTCTCGATTTATAAAAACATCTAAAAACAACTTTTCGTATTAATTCCTTAAGCACATTCCCAATTATAATTTTTGTTTATTTTATTTTCTCCTATACCAAGAAAGGCAGCACTATAGAGTTGACGAGGCACTATTGAGAAGCAACATAATTAAGTTGCCAAGCCGTGTATCTGAAGACAATTCAGTATGCCAAATAGAGGTGGAATCTGGCACTTAAAACAGCCTTCTGTTACACTAGGTAGCTAGTCAGACATGAGCAGGGCAGGATAGGTGCCCCACACACAAACACCAGGAATATCCAGCTATGGTGATGGTCAATCAATTGTTAACTGTCTCTCTAAAATAATAATTGGTCATAGCCAGCAGCCCCAGGGAAAGTCAGTCTCCCAATAAAGAGGAAAAACCTGAAACTGGTGATCAGCAGCCTCGCGATGAGATCTCAGGAGTTGGGTGACTGGGTTCAAGCATGCACACTAAGAGGCAAAACGGTGGAGTTTAACTGGAATATGACCTTCCTCTAGAAACACTTGACTGGTAAGGGAAGAATGGCCCCAGTGAGCATGCGTAAAACTCCAATAAACACACTGCGTATGAGGCCCCTCCCAAATGCTAGCCAGCCACTGCACATGCAGACAGGCCAAGGGAAGAATCAGGGGAGAAGTGATGCAAGACCCCGAAGCATGCCAACATTTAAACCCCAAGTCAAAGGTCAAACAGTGCACTTGATCTCTCACGTTGCCCGATGGGCCCTATTCCAAGGGCAGTTTACTAGCTTTCATTGATGCTCTAAAGCTTTTTAACAAATTTTGACTTCTGCTCCTTGGTCTCTCCTTCTGCTTTATGCCCCTCAGTCAAATTCTTTCTTCTGAGAAGGCTAGAATTGAGGTTGCTGCAAACCCGTACAGATTCGCAGCTGGTAACAAACTTTGGTGCCACATGACTTGGATACGTTCCACTGCTAACACTTTCCCACTTTCCCCTTTAGTCCTAAATCAAAAACTGAGATCATGATTGATCTCAATTATCAAAATCCTTACTGGGTCAGGGGGTCAGGATTATAAACATTTCCTGAATACAAATGAAGACCTAAATGGTAGAGATGTTTAGAGAACGGTCCCTTGCTTACTTGACATTGCAATCCCTACTCACCAGTGCCCCAAACCAGGTACATGGTGTTTAGATTCCATTTGGGTCCCATTAGATGAAATGGGATTAACACCAAATCTGGTCACTCAGTAGTCCATGCTAGAAACTCAAGAAAGACAGAATTTGGGTTTCCTTGTGTGCGCTTTCTCTGTTTTCAGAAACAGTCACAGCTGAAACTGCTACGGACTGCAGAGGGGATTTTCATTTCAATGTTAATATTTTATCACAGCAATATTAACTCCAAAATTAACAATTATAATAATTATTTATGTTTTCTTCCTTATTTCCTTCCAAGTAGCTCAGTCACATCCACCCTGACACCCACAGGGGAGGTGTGCTAGCAGTGGGGGGCAAGGATGGTCAGGCTTTACATCTGACACATGGAAGACATAGGTAAGCTTACCTTAGAGGCTCATGGGATCAAGGATCTAGTCACCAGATGCAGTGGTCAAACTGATCACGCAGCCTTTCATTAGATTTCTCTCCTTCCCTGCTTCACTCCTCCATCCCTCATTTTTGCTCCCTGGGATGGTGTTTCAAAAACAACCACTTGCACATGTTTCTTTTCTCTCAAGCTCTGCTTTTGGCAGAACCCAACCCAAGAAGTCTGAATCCTCATGTCTCCATCTCTCTCTCTGTTGTTCTGTCTGATTAGCTTTCTGTCTATCCACCTTCCCTTGTTAAGGACTTATAATTTAGACCAAAATGATTGGATTGAGAGAAAGCATACATCAATGAATAATTAGTAAGATGTATTAGTCTGTTCTTATGCTGCTGATAAAGACATACCAGGGACTGGGTAATTTGTAAAGAAAAAGAGGTTTAATGGACTCACAGTTCCACGTGGCTAGGGAGGCCTCCCAATCATGGTGGAAGGTGAAAGGCACATCTTACACGGCGGCAGGCAAGAGAGAAGTCAGAACAAATGAAAGGGGTTTCCCTTTATACAACCATTGTATCTTATGAGACTTATTCACTACCACGAGAATGGTATAGGGGCAACTGCCACCATGATTCAATTATCTCCCACCAGGTTCCTCCCACAACATGGGGGAATTATGGGAGCTAAATTCAAGATGAGATTTGGATGGGGACACAGCCAAACCATTCACCAGGCATGCTAATAAATGCTGAAACACAAGCACTTTCAAATTTTTTGGTATATTGTTCTAGAGTTTTTCTTTGGACATTTAAATATTTATATATGTACATGTATTTTTACAAAAATGGGATACCATTATCCATAGCCACACACACATACATATATGTCAAGACTCTTATTTTTCAATTAAACTTAACATGGTATTTATTGATTTCAATAATTCTAGATATTGCACCCATTTTTTGTAGCTGCAACATGTTAACATTACAATATTTGGATGGTTGACCCGGATTTAAAAATAATCCCTTAGCAATTAATGCTATTATTAATTTTTTAGGTATTCTGACAACAAGTACACAAACACATTTTATGAATAGAGATAATATATTCACAAATAAATCTAATCTGTATGTATTTGACTATTGATGCAGCATATGTTATCCTGTTTGGGTTTTGAGCTTTGGTATGCTTCCTCTTGTCAATTGCCTGTTTGTTTCCTTCCTCGAATTGTTCGCAATGAGTTCTTATAGTAGTCATTCATTTCAATGGCAAATAGTACTGATGGAGGACCTTCAGTAATATTCAGAAGCTACAGATACAGTGGTAAACATGAAACATGGCTCTGCCCTCTGGAGCATAGAGTCTAGCAAAAAAAGATGGTCACTAACAATTACAGCTACAATGAAGGTTGGAAAATAATTCTCTGGCACAGAAAATGTACTGCAAGAGAAGTCAGAGAATTGGGCCATCAGGGAAGACTGCCTGAGGAAGTAATACAAGTTGAGATTGAAGAGTAAGTGAAAGTCGACCAAGTGAAGAACACAAGAACATTTCATGGAGAAGAAAAAGACATAAAAACACAGGGAAAAAGTGTATTATGTTTGAATATATTAACCCTTTGTCAACCATATATGTGCATATATATATTCAATATATAAAACATTTTTTAGATCATTGTTTGGTTTGAGCCACTTTGCCAAATGCAAGTTTCAAAAATTTTTATTGTCAAATATGTAAATCTTTTCCTTTAAGATTTTAGGTTTGGATGTCATACCTAGATAAGCTTATGTTCACATTCACTTATATTTTCTTCTAGTATTTTTTCTTCTTCTTTTTTCTTTTAGCTCTCAGACCATCACACAGAACTTCCTAGTGCTTTTCTCATTTTATTTTTTCTCTTTCACATTTTTACAGTCTGGAATGTATTTGGTTGTAGACTATAAAATGGGTATAATTTTATTTCAGATGAATTTACATTCTTTTTTCTCAAAAGCTTACATTATCTAGTAGGTTCCCTACTTTGCCACAGAACTTTCTTAAAGCAAATATCTATCCCCCACCACACATGGGTTCAAATCTTCAGAGAAATGACAGAGCTCCCAAACATTACTAACATCTCCTGCTCTCTGGCCCAGCACATCCTTTCTCCAGGGTTCTCTCTGACCTTCACTCCTGATTTTCACCTCAATTTTTCTTTTAAAAATTCTTACATATTACTCTGTCCACGATGCTACCCCCAAATTAAGTCAATTAGTTTGGTATTCTTTATTAACCCACAAATCAAAAAAGAGACATTAATATCCATTAATATGAAAATGAAATATACATAAGAAATCCATTTTACCTTCTTTGGAACTATGTCATTCAACGAAAGTTTTCACTAGTTTTTTTAAATATTTTTTTTCTAAAATAACTAAGAGTAAAAGAATTCACTCTAAAAGTAACTGGTACTTAGACTGCATGACATTGGCACAATAAAATGCAACAAAATAATTTAGACAGTGCCCTTCACCAAAATAAGCAAATTTGTATAGCCAAATTCTTGCAAAGAGGATTAACCTGTCTCCGAAGCAGCAGTAATTACTGGATGTTGAGAAACACGAAATACCTGTGCTTGTAGCAGCGTGAAACCTGGCCTATGGTCCCAAAATATTACCAGAAATATAAAATCATGAATATACACATCATTAAATACATTCCATATTTTAGAAGCAACTCACTAAAGCTGCTTAGAACCTTCTGAATTAGTAATTAAAATATATAACTAAAAGTATTATTTTCTTATTACAGCAATAAAAATGCAGGCATTTTTTTTTCTCACTGAATATTCTTTTGTGATTTTAAAGACATGACACATGACCTCTAAAATTGTCAGAGAGATAGAACTGGCTCTTGTATTTAAAACTTCTTTTATTGAAAACCTATGTTCAACCTTTCCCTGAATGATTATTGCCTATGGTCAGTAACAAGATGGTGGTCTAGACTCTATGCTCATTAACACTTTGCCTGATTTGGCAAACATTATTCCTTTTTTAGAAGGGTTTAGATCCTGATTGATTTAGTGATATTACTGGGGTGAGAGTAGCAGGATTACTATTAGGAAAGAAAAAATGGTACATTTTTCACACTGATTTGAAGGTCAGTTGTTCATACTGACCCAGTGAGTTCTCCACCTTGCAGCAATGATCAGCAAAGAGCAGCAACAGTAAAAGTCTACCTCTAAGCCTGGGAGAGGATCAAGGAAGGCAAAGGCAGTGTCAGCACTAGCAGGTTGGTGAAGATAAGGAGGAGTGGCAAATGCCGTGGCCAAGTGGGTCAGTCCAGGAAAAGAACAACAAGTTGGTCAAAATGCAGAGCCAATAACTGTCTAGTCTCTTCATAGAGTGTGTTCCTGTCCATGCCCTAGTTTGGTCTGAGTTTTGCTTTCTGGTATGGACATTTGGGAAGGGAAAGACTTGCAGCCCTGAAGACAAGAGCTTGCTGACACAGAGCCGGACTCCTGTAGAGGACAATATTCTGCTTCCCAAGCACAGGATGTTGTGGTGGGTGTCTAAGAACAATGTCTTCCTAAAAGATCATCTCTGTGTTATCATTGATCTTTATCTTCCTGAAGAATATATACTTTCCATTTTAAGTTAAGACATGGGATTTGCCAAGATTGTAAACCACACTGAGAGTCAATTTTGGAGTTTGGCAAATCATGTATGCACACCCTATCTAGTATTGATATCTAGTTGTCAACTTTTTATTCTGTTGTTTAGCAGCTGTATTAAGAGAAAAATCTAGAGAGTAATTAGTTTATAGAGTATAGAGGGAAGGAATAACGAGCCGTTTTCTATTGTTGAGACATTAAAAGTACATACAGGGAGGTTATCTTGGAAGACAGTAACATTCCAAATTATTAAAATTTGGTGCTTGTATCTTAACGATGTGCATTATATTCCTAATTCTGAATTGCTGACCAATCCAGTACAAGCCAGTTCACAGCATTTCCAGTGGCCTATTTCCAAACCTTGTGGTCTGGTACAAACAACATGTAGTTGTTACCATGTGGTAGCTTGTCCTACTACACAGTCCCTGATGTCAGTCTGGCTATGGAAGGAAACACTTGACAGGAGACTGAACAAATGCAAGCCCTAATGTACGAGATGCTCTCCACCTGTCAAATTCCCAAGAACACCCTCAATGCTCACTCTCTGAATGAGCAGCGGAGATAACCATTTTCTACTCGAAACCATTTCAGAGCCACCAACAATATTACTGGTATTTCCCTTGTTACTAAAAGGAGAAACAAAGAACTATCTGGATGCATTCAGAAGATACTACACTTCAAGAAGAGCCCCTGACTTAAGTTGCAATAGTAAAAGATGCTTCCCTAACCATTCCCACACCAGCTCTCCAAGGGCAGCAGAACCATTTTCAGAAAACGACAATCGACATTCAGAACTTTTCACAGCACAGAACATATAATGCTTATGCTGACAGCTGTTATCAGGAAAGAATCGGAAAATCTGAATGAATGCCAGGATATTCTCAATAAAACTGGTAAACATCCCATGGACATAATGGCAACAAGCAGGGTGGAAGTTGTTATGAGATTCATCACGTTGCATGAGGAATGTCAGGATGATAAGGCTTTTATCACCCCATGGTCGCCACTGACAACTTTCCAGGGGGATCTTTTGAATGGCTGTGTCATTGAGCTCATTAATGAATTTGAAAGGAGGTTAATTTTAATCAAGAATGTAATCAAGGCTGGTGCGGTGGCTCACGCCTGTAATCCCAGCACTTTGGGAGGCCGAGGCAGGCGGATCACGAGGTCAGGAGATCGAGACCATCCTGGCTAACACAGTGAAACCCCATCTCTACTAAAAATGGAAAAAAAATAAAAAAATTAAAAAATAAAAATTAGCCAGGCTTGGTGGTGGGCACCTGTAGTCCCAGCTACTCAGGAGGCTGAGGCAGGAGAATGGCATGAACCCAGGAGGCGGAGCTTGCAGTGAGCCAAGATGGGGCCACTGCACTCCAGCCTGGGCAACAGAGCAAGACTCTGTCTCAAAAAAAAAAAAAAAAAAAGAAAGAAAGAATGTAATCGAGAAGGGGAAAGTCAAGCCCCAGTAACTCACTCACTTGCAGCAGAAGAGTAAGCACAGAACCACAGTGCGATGGAGTGAGGGTGCTCAACCTAGCCTGGGCCACAGGCCAACCTGGCCTCTTATTCCTAATCAGGTGCTGGCAAGGATGCAATTTTGAACTTGTGTTAACAAATACTCCATGTTTCCCATTCCACACCTGGGAAAATCATAGCAGAATCCAAACCTAACGATGAAACTGACTTCTGATAGAAAAACAGGCCCCTTTACAGGAATACCCACGGACAACCTCTTCATACCGAACCTCCATGCTTGATGCCTTCTGATTACTGAGAGTTCGCCTCTGCAGTACCTACACCAAGTTGCTTCCACCTGAGGCCACACCCTCAACTCCTCCCTGCCTCCACCTGTGGCTTCCGGGATCTGACTACCAAAGTTGGGCTTCTCTTCTGAAAATAGATTGGAGGTTTGACTCGGCTATAGTCACTAGGTACAGTCCAAGAACAACTGACATATCTCCTGAGGCTCTGATCTGAGCTGCTTTCACCTGAGGTCACAAAAGACTCACCTCTGCTTTCTGCTTTCAGGAGAATCACATTTGAAGTACAGAGAGAGACACATGCGGGAAACAGACAGAGCTGACTGGTTTCCTGTAATCTGTCCAAATCTTCTTTGCTAGGTGTCACAACCCAGTCCACACTTCAAGTCTTAATAAAAGGAAGTAGGAACTTCAGAAACAGCAGTGCCCATGCCTGCATCTTTCTACCTGAACTCGTACAATCTCATAGATCCTTGCTTTACATACACAGAGCATGTTTAGTTCACCGCTTTTTATCTTACAACATATGAGAAGGGATATTAGAAGTAAAAACTTGAAGAATGAGTGGTAGATACTGAGAGAAGAAGAAACTCTTGGTTGCCAGACCCCCAATAGCCACCCACAGCAAGAGAAATGAAGACATAACAATGGATAAAGAAAACGGAAACAAACAAACAAACAAAAAAACCTCAAAGTTCTATCACTGTTTAGTATCATGATGGCTGTTTGTAATGGCTTCATGTCAAAAAAAATTAAGTTGGTTCAATACACTTTGTGTAAGAGAGTGTCAAGCTTTTAAAACAAATGTTTCAATGTTTTTCTGGGCAAAGAGGGATAAGGTAAAAAGAAGAAAATAATAATTACCAGGATATAAGCAAAAGGGATTAGAACTAGGATATTAAACAAGTTTCATTTCATTTTCCAATTCTGTTTCATGCTTAGGGACGTCTTGGAGCACTCTACTGCTAAGGAGTATGGGGCTATATCCAGTAGAAAGATGGCTGGGGCTGATTAGTGATGTTTTCCATGGCTTTGGAAGTAGGGAAGTGGGTGAAGTATAGAATGGAGGACTAGGAGGTGAACTTGGGTCCTGTACTTTCCATCCCTAGATAAAGAAAGTGGTGCTGCAGATAAAGGTAATGGAGAGATGCTATTGGCATTTACAAAACATACACAGTTCACTCCTAAGACTTTTTTTTTTTTTTGAGACAGAGTCTTGCTCTATTGCCCAGGCTGGAGTGCAGTGGCACAATCATAGCTCACTGTAACCTCAAACTCTTAGACTCAAGCAATCTTCCACCTCAGCCTCCCAAGTAGCTGGGACTATAGGCACACACCACCACACAAACCTTTTTTTTCTTTTTTTCTGTTTTGGAGAGATGGGATCTCACTATGTTCTCCAGGCTGGTCTTGAACTCTTGGCATCAAGAGATCCTACTGCCTTGGCCTCCCAAGGTGCTGGGATTACAGGCATGAGTCACTGTGCCAGGGCCTAAAACTTTTAAAATATTACTGAATAAAGACATGTCCACTGCTTTCATAGCTTAAGATATATAGCTACTTAGAATTTTAGTTGAATTCACAAAAATTAGGCAGTATAATATGGCAGGAGTCATTTAGCAAGCTTCTAATTAGAATATTTGATGATAGTATGGTGCATTGTAAACATTTCCATCTGTATTTTATTTCTGAGACTAAGAGTGATTTCTTTTAATGAACCTTCTATTATGTCATTCAAGTTGTTGTTTAGAGAAAGACGTGATAAGAGTCCTGGTTCCTGAGAACATTTGCTATGGGCCATTAATTAACTTTGTGACCCAGTATAAGTCATAACATTTCTTTGTTTCAATTTCAATAAACAATGAGTTCTCCATTAGCTAGAAAATCTACAAAATCATTGTAAGTCTAGGGAAATTTATATTCTACAACAAATGTAAAATTCTCACAAAAGTAATGACATGAACATATTGATCATCTGTAATATTTTCTAACACTTTGATTTACTATCCATATGTTCAGATGACAATCTTTTTAGGGAAAACAAAAACACAGACTGTTAGCATGTGAAAGAGATTCATGACCCTCCTTGGTCAGCAAAAACAATTGCAAATGAACATTTCTTAGTGATTTATTTGCATTAGCAAGGCTGTCAGGACATTTAAAATATTCCTGAATTGAGTTAATAAATAAAAGAAAGTCTGATTTTGACAAAAAGTCATAAAATGATACCATTCTAGGGCAATTATTTGAGGTTCTTTACTAGTCAATGTCTGTCTCCTGTCTCAGGGCAGGTATACTTCCAGCACATTCTTGTCATGAGGAAAGCCAAACAAGCTCTGCTGGGCTTTGTTGCTTCAAAGTCTTATTTTTTATTGTGCGTTCAAAACCAAAACAAAAAAGAAGAGGTACAATCAACTGATCTTCTCAGTGTATTTGCCACTAGGTTCATGATGCAATTTAGGCAAGTTAGTGAATCCTGCTATGAAAATATCAAAGCTTTCGGTCATTTGTCCATATACTGGCATAACACATTGAACATAGTAATCAGGAAAACTCATTTTAATGAAGAAATGAACAAAATTACAAATAAGTGATTAAACCATTAAGAGTAAAAGCACCATTAGATTTCATTTATAATGCATCCTTCACAGCCTATCATTCACCTATGAAGTTCTAAACCATATTGCTGTGTATGCAAAAATGTCCTAGCTTACAGTAAAAACTCAGTTATGCTTCTTTCCACATGATAAGCTGAAATCGTAGTATCAAAGTTTCCAAAAAAATTCACCATTAAATTAATTATTGGGGCAAAAACATCAAGGAAACCAGATAATAACAATAGCAACCACAATAAAAACCCGCAAGCAAAACAAAAAGACAATATCATTACATTTAGTGGTTGTGATCATGGCGAGTAATGGGTCACAGTGCTATTGAGTTTTCACCAAATTTTTGTTTATTATTATTAATGTTTAATTAGAGGGACTTACAATATCTGAGTAGTCTACATTTAAATAATGTTGGAGATCACCAATGTTAGCCCATTGAAATCATAATAAATATTGCACAATTGCTTTTTTAGTTTTCCAACTGAGCTTTATTTCTATCTTTTTATTTTACAAATGTAATAAAGAGCACTCAAAAATACACACATGTACATACTGCAGGTGAAGATAATTTAGTCCACACACACACGTTGTAGAAGATATTTTAGTTTCAGTAGAGGCACTGCTTATTCTGCAAATCCTTCATTGACTTTTGAGACTGAGTTAGACCCTTTGTGTTCCCATTGTACATCACAATGATACATTCAGAATCATACAATGATACACCTACCACAGTGTCAAAGACTTCCTAAGTGCCCATCTATCCAATTTTGACCATGAATCTTCTCACATGTATACTACCAATGCCTGATAAAGTTCATAGCATATTAGATCTGTTCAGTAAATACTTACGTGAATGAATGACATTATGGTGGGGGAAAAGTAGTACAGGGTTGGACCATAAATTTCCGTGTGGATCACTGAAATATATACTATTAACAATTGTGAAAAAGAAAGACCGTCAGTCATTGTACATTGTTCAATAACACCTTATGTAAGATTTGCATAGTGCTTTCCTCTAAAGTTTAATATCATTTCAAGACAAACATTAGAAATAAATGCTTTAATTTTGTCCTTAACTTTTAAATATATTATACTTTAAGAATCGGATCAGCCTTTAAATTCATTATTTTAAATCATGACAAACTTGAACTGTTACTAAAAGGAGACAAAGCTTAACTAAAACTTTAAAGGTAAGTTATGAGAATTTTTAAATGTGAGCAGTTTGTTGACTAAGAAAATCTCAAGGCAAAAATGGAGAATGTTTAATATTCTATATGGGATAATAAATATGAATTCAATAACCTAATGAAATTTCCTAAAAATTAACATCTATATAATTTAACTGTATAATCTGATAATTTATGGGATTTTTAAAGAATCATTCATAAAGTGATTCCACTGAGTTAATATCTATATAAGTACATTTCCATTCATTGATGTAGGACATAAAAAAGAGTCTGACCAGGTTCCGAAGGAGGAGAGGTTATTTTAATTAAAATGACTATAGTTTAGATCTTTAAAGGAAATATAATTTTGAATAGTTTGGAATTATTCCATACCATTTAAAAATATCTGGAAAATATGTGAGACATGTATAACTTTTCTTACATGCTTAAATATCTGTCTTCTTGTGAGAGTATTGAACTTTCTACCTTAAAATAACTTCAATGTGGAGAAAGTTCTAGTTTCAAACTGCTTTCTTCAAATATACAGAAAGAATAGTAATGATGGGTTAGAATAGAACAGTTTTGACTTTTGGAATAAAATTTTAGAGTTGGGTGATCTGGGATGAGGTCACTTTCCTGTCACTTTTTTTTGACATTCAGAGCTTAAATAAATACTGTATGATTTTTGTGACTGATGATTCCCCCAAGGACTTACTCACCATCCACTATGAGACCATTGCAGGGACTGCATTTGGAAAACAGGATGACAGTCAGGCAAGGGACAGAAATTTCAGTTCGTAAAGCACTTGGATAATTTTTGCTCTTATCATTTCTTTCTTTTTATTTGTTTGTTTTATTTCCCTTTGACACATTAAATGTCCCGTACTTTAAGTTGCTTATCACTTTCATGAACTGGTTCATGTACTATTTACTGTAGCTACTCTACTTTTTATTTTCTCTTTACCTTGTCTAGTCCCTGAGAGGAAATAATCTTTCATACACATCTTGTGGTGTTCTTTCCCGAAATTATTCTTCAGGGTTATTGTAATAAAATTATCCTTTTGTGTATTCAGTGTTTTGGATATGATCTATTCTTTACATGTCCCTAAGATACATTGCTTTATGTTATTAACCTTAGAATATGATTTCCATTGCTCTGTCCAATACTTATGGAGAAAGTACTGAATTTAAAAGAAAGAAGAATTTAAAATATTGGCTACATCCTCTTTTATCAGAAAGTAGTGTTTTTGGAGATGCATAATTTGTCACATCTTAACTTATCTATATTCATATGAGAAAATGGCCTAATGAAAATCTACACTGACATGAAAAAGAGTTTCTGTAAGCGATAAATCTTTGCTAAGATTGTTACATTTTTCTAAAAAAAAAATTTAAAAATTATATATGGCCATTACAGAATGCTCATATAAAAAATGCAGAGTCCAGGACAAGCTCTCTACAGCAACTTCTTTATCAAGTGGAAGTATACCGTGATGAAATCCCAATGAGGTTAAAAATTTTTTAAAATTCGGCCAGGCATGGTGGCTCACACCTGTAATCCCAGCACTTTGGGAGGCCAAGGTGGGTGGATCACCTGAGGTCATGAGTTCAAGACCAGCCTGTCCAACATGGTGAAACCCTGTCTCTACTAAAAATATAAAAATCAGCCAGGTGTGGCTAATTTTATACAGATAAATGCATATAAATATTTAAATAAATATTTAAAATTAATGAGAATTAGAAAGAAAAACATTTAACATGCCTGTGTGAATGCACATGTAAATGTGTATACTCACACAAATACTGAACCATCAAACACTAATTGATGTAGGTTAAATTTATTGATACAAATAGGACTCGAATCATCAAAGAACCAAAAAACACTTTATTTTCTATAATCTTTGCTGTCATTGACATTAAAAATCTGTTTATTTGATGTTTTTGTTGCCTAATAAATTATCTTTATTCATGAAGCTCTCTTTGCACTTAAAAATATTGTTTTATCAAAGTGTTTCCACTCATTATCATAAATCTAATGCCTAATAATATTGAAAAAATTCTATACAAAAATGATAGACTATGATGAGTCAAGTAATCTTTCCCCTTAAAAATACAATATTAGATAAAATGCTGAAATTTCAAAAAATTATTTGGTTGACTCCCAAAAAGGATAAAAAAAATCATCGAGGGTACATCAGGAAACAGGGTACCCAAATCTTGGTGATCAGGAGGTGAAGCCAAGGTCCTGTGCTGTTATTAACACTGGATTGAAGCTTTAAGAGTTGCAATTTAAATGTCCAAACATGTGCCATGAGGCCTTAGAGTCAGATCCATCATCAAAGTGGCATGGCAATGTGTTTTCTAGACAAATCTTAAAGCCAGGGATTGCAAAACTGTAAATAGGGAAAAAACAAGCAATCAGTCAACAAAAAAATGTCCTGCACAATGACTATGGAAAGGAAACTGACTCCAGTCTCAGGTTGGTGGGAGGGGGGGGCTGTATTATGATTGAATACGAACTTTAAATCACCAGTATCTTCAGAATATTAAGGTTAAAAATGAAAGAACAAAAACCAAAGACTTTTCTAGATTGAAAAAGACATAGCAATTAAAAACAATGCAAGAACCTCGATTGGATCCTAACTTGGGAGGAAATGCACAAAAAATAATTGTAGCAATGTGAAAAATTAAATATGGACTAATTATTTTATGATGTTATGAAATTATTTTTAGTTCTCTAAGGCATAATAATGACATTGTGGCTGTAGAATAATTCCCTTATACTTAGGAGATGTGAGCGGAATCATTTGCAGGTGATATTGCTAAGACAAAGACAATACGACTTTGAAAACACAATTAAACTCACCATAACAAAGGAAAAGAGGGGAAGATATGTTCATCTCAATATTTGCATTTGAAAAGTTTATACTCAGGTTTGAAATAATACATTCTTAGCACAAATTAGACATAGAATTAGAAAAACAATACCTACCCAGTCAGTAACTTTTACCATTTGTGGTGAAGTACTATGAGTACAATAAAGTTAAGCATAAGGCAAAGGCAAAGCCAAGTCATTAACAGAAAAAAGGGAGTAGGCACTATGAGACAGAGGACTTTTTTGAAAATTATTATTTTTTTTTAATATTTGGAGAGAGGGTCTCACTTTGTCACCCAGGCTGGTGTCTGGAGTGCAGTGGTGTGATCTTAACTCACTGTAGCCTCCACCTTCCAGGCTCAAGCAATTCTCCCACCTCAGACTCCCAAGTAGCTGGAACTACAGACATGCACCACCGTACCCAGCTAACTTTTTTGTTTTTTGTAGAGACAGAGTCTTGCCATGTTGTCCAGGCTCATCTTGGACTCGTGGCCTTAAGCAATCCTCCCACCTCAGCCTTCCAAAGGTTGGGATTACAGGTGTGAGCCACCATCCCCAGCCTAGTTTTTCGTTTTGTTTTTGTTTGTTTTAATTTACCATTTCCACACATTCCATAGTCAGGAAAAAAAAATTCCACCTTTTGTCCTAATTGTAACTGAAATGAATGTTAGTACATCTGAAAGGGAAGGGGCACTGAAAACCACACACACTCTGCAACTTTGGATAACTTCTCTAAGTTTTAAGAATTTCAGAGATCAAAGAATATGTAAATAATCGAATTTAAACTCCATGAATTGAGAATCTAACTTACCCTAGAATAGATGCTCTATGAAAACACCCAATTTACATATTACTATCACAACCAAATCCTTCATCATCAAGAGTGTGTGGTATACAAGCACTCAATACATATTTGTTAAGTGAATTAATAATGTTAGTCACCAAATAAGGCATTTAAGGAGTCAAATAAAGGAGGCAATGCATGAAAAGCATTCAACACAATGCCTGGTGTACATAAGCATTCAAAAATCTTAGTTATCATCATCATCACATTCATCGTTAATTTTATAATTATTATCGTAAATCTGTCATTTAATGAATAATTTCACATACAAGGAGTTGCAATTACTAGCACAAACATTGACAAGACTTTGCAACACAAAACTACCAGTGAACTCAAGAAATGTTTACTTTTGAGGCAAAACCTGTGAGCACATTTTGCTGGAGTGGCTTGTCCTCAGTATACTTACATCACTGGGGAAAGCTAAAGAGACAGATCTGGGAGTCTTTGTTGAGCTCTGAAAGTAAGTAATATTATTAATAGGAATGTATTTTATATGTGTGTACTAATCCAACTGCTTATTTAAGTTTGCAACATGCTGATAGTTTTTTTCAGACTCATGGTACATGTATAAATTTGAGGCTTCTGGAAACATTTTTCAGATATAAATATTTTAATTTAGTGATTTTCTTACAAGTGAACAATCATCCAAAGATCTGGATAAACCTCAGGCTCTGATGACCATTGACTCAAGTCTACAGGTAAAATATTTATTTATTTATTTTGAGACAGAGCCTCACTCTGTTGCCCCAGCTAGAGTGCGATGGCATGATCGTGGCTCACTGCAACCTCCGCCTCCCTGGTTCAAGGGATTCTCCTTCCTCAGCCTCCTGAGTAGCTGGGACTACAGGAGTCCACCACCACACCCAGCTAATTTTTATATTTTTAGTAGAAATGGGGTTTCACCAAGTTGCCGAGCCTGGTCTCAAACTCCTGTGATCCACCTACCTCAGCCTCTCAGAGTGCTGGGATGAAAGGGGTGAGCCACTGCGTCTGGCAGGATTTATTTTTTAATGTTTTTTTTTTTTGTCGTTGTTGTTGTTTTGTCTCAGTGTTGTCACTCTTCAGGAAGAACACTGCTATGCTTTCTAACTTTTCTTCTGAATTGAATTGACTTGCTGCACTTGTGAGGTTGTAAGATGCAGCATCCAAGAAAAATGCAGATGTTTCCTTCTAAGCTGAATTCCAAGAATAATAGTTTAGCAAACTTCAGTACTTGATGAGATATTTATACTGGCATTTGTTGTACTGTATTTATTACAGATATAAATAATATGACCTTTAGATGGTATAATTTTTTTCTTTAATTGAAAATAATTCACGTTCAATGTGGATGACATGTTTTAACAACATATGTGAGTGTCTGTGAAAAACAACCATAAACAGTTGAAATCTTTTATAATCCATATAGGTTGCCTAATATGGGCAACTCAAGGGGACACACATAATTTTGGTTGAAGCATAGATTTATTATGAATGATTAATGGAAATCTTATTTTCAATTTGTGGAATAGAAAGTAAAATAAGAGACATCTTGCCTATACTGTAATTAGATTAATTTTTAAGTATATGAATGGAAATAAAAAGGATGATGATGATATTAATGATAAAACAATCTCTAGCTTGTATAAAGTGCTTGTTAATTATTACGCTTTTAAAAAACTGTTACATAAATTATCTTATTTAATTCTTATAGCAATCCTACAATATACAAATGCCATCCACTTTTTGCAGATAAGGAAAAAGAAACACAGGATTTAAATGTTGAGCCTCGCTGTAATACAAGGATATTCTTCCTTAATACCCTTAAGTATATCTAATCCTAATATTTTTTAGAACTTTCTATAAGCAAAGTCTTATTTTAGGTGCCTCAAGCCATAGACATGTTAATGAGGCAAGTTTCTACTCTCCATAGGTTCAAAACACAAATAAATAAGTATCAGGTATCACAGCCCTATCCACAGATAATCTGACACTCAGAAGTTCCCATGCCCAGGAGTCTGCTATAGAGTCCTCAGCTTGGTAACCTCCACCATCAGCATCAGTGGGTTCAGGCTCTCTGGGTCTCCAGCTAATCCTGCAGAGGCAGTGAGTACATTAAAACATCACACCTAATTCCACTCTCCCCTTACCCCTTTGTTCTAATGTAGTTTGAGCTAGCCTCTCACATCTGAACTCTGTTAACACTGCTAGGTTCTTGCTACGCATCAGAGCCAGGTCTGCCTCCAGGGATTATCTGTAAGTATTCACACTGGTCAAAGCTCACTTTTCTCTGATATCATGCTTGCCAAACACAGAAAAAAAATATGGACTGTACTTTGATTTCCACCCAAATATTCTGCCTGATTCTTCTATCCTCTCTTAGGATAGGAGTTGTGTCCTGATTATTTGTCTGGTGTTACCTTCTTGAGGGTTGTCTCATAATGGGACCACTCAGTGTTACAGGCTGCCTGCCCTACTTCACTTCCGTTTAGAAATGCCGGTACCAACCCTCTCCTGAATCTCACCTGAGCATTCCACATACTCTGAATTCTGTGTCTACCTATTCAACTATCCCTTCAGTCTGGAGTCAAATTCACCCCATTCCTTCTCATCTCTCTAGTCATAAAAGGCAATTGTGCTATTCCTGGCTCTTGACTCCCTCCATTTTGCCCAGAGTTTATATAATTATATCACCATGTCTCATTCAAATGTCTAAATATAATCAGTCCTCCAATAACTATAATACAAAACCAAACGTAACAATTGGCAAAAAAAAAATGTGTAAATTAGAAAGAGTCTGAAAATTAGAAAGAATAATTTTGTAAATTGTATAAATTAGAATGAATCTTTGAAAATTGGAAAGCTTATTTTTCATTGAAAAAAAATGATGGAAGGTACTATTGAACCGTGAAATGTGTGCTGCAAATTTTAAGTGATTGTGGCAAGCAGAGATGGTAGAGAAAGGTGTGCAAGTAGGAAATAGCCTTAGCCAACTGCATGGAGCACAATGGTCATAATCATGTAACACAAATAAATAACTCGGTCTGTGTTGTCTGTATGGTATATGAGATTGTGGAATATAAGACAAATCTGAAAAAGCAGGATAAAACCATATTGGCCAGAATCTTGAATTTCAAAAGATGAGTTTGTACAAAATACTTTAGATAAAACAAATTAATGAGAAGATCCTTTCTCTCTCTCTCACTCTCTGTCTCTCTCTTTGTGGACATAGGAAGAATTATGATAGAAAAATATTAGAAGCTGGAAATATATATTTGGGAGGAGATTGCAACAACACAAACAAGATGAAATAGTCTGAATTAAGATGCTTATAGTAGACGAAAAAGTGCTTGGTAGAAAATAAAGCGGAAAACTACAATTGGTATTTGAAAGAGAATTTTCTTGTTGGGAGATACTGAAGGATGGTTAATCTCAAACTTACCATATCTCTGGGGTCCCTGATTACCACTCTTACAACTATATTGGCCAATAAATGCCACAGCTCTCCCTCAGTCCTCTGATGACTTGAGAGGGGACACCTAAGCTCTCTTCCCCACCTGCTCCATAGCACAGCAGAGACAAGATTGGAACAATCAGGAAATTATTTATGGAAGACTAGTATGCAAGTTGATGTAGAATGTAAAATCCAAATACACTGACATATGAAATATGACATCATTTTTATCTTGTGATTCACTACATAGAAGCTAGCTTACGGGCTACTGAAGTTTAATAGACTTTTAGTATCCACCAGAGTCACACATCTCAACATAATTCAAGTCAAAGGAAGGGCCAAGCCTCTTAGCAATCTAATTATTTTTCTTTTAGTTCTAGCTTCCTGATTGAGGATCTGTTTCGTTTCCTGGCCAACTTATACAAGGAATGAACTCATTCTGCTTACTCATTTGGTCATCATTTTATCTTTGACCTCTTTAAAATAACTGTATCAAAGTATATTGATCAACCCAACATCACTGGTGTACTAGTAAATGTTTAGTAGTAGATTCCCTAGGAAGAAACACACACACACATACACACACACACACACAAATAAAACAAACTGTTTTGTATTGTTTGCCAATTTATGTGGTGTAAATATTCCCACTATGGTCAGTTTCAAGCTACTTATATGAGGTGACTGAATTAGGATTTGGGAAGCACTGCTACTGATGTATAATAACAATGAGTAGTATTTGTTACATCCTTACCAAATGCAAGAAAAAAATAATAAGCAATTAACATACATTTTCACCTTTAATCATCCAATAGCTCTCAAAATAGGCATTATTTTATGATCATTATTTATAGGGAAGAAGAAATTAAAGATTACAGAGATTAAATCTCTAAAACTCACAAAATTAGTCAATAGAAGTGCTGACATTGAGTCTCATTATGTCACATGTCTTCCGATGTGCATGTCCATCTCCTAAGGAGGAAATTCTAGTGTTGGCATCAGTTTTCACGCAAGAATCTGCTTTCAATGCTTATGTTCTTGAGGTCTTTTCTATACTTTTCCTACATAAGAGAAAGTTATAATATAGAGATTACTAACATTAAAAGTAATAAGCAATAAATGAACAGGTATAACTTTGTAAATATTGCAGATATAAAATCTGTATGAGGAGGCAGTTGATCAGATATAATAATAAGAGGGACAAAATCTCTCTATTTTTTATTTCTGGGTGACTGGAAGAATGGAGCAATCATTATAACTTTTAGAATCTGAAAAGAATCTTAGTTTACAGAAAATATATTTAAGGAATGTTGATTTAGGAAGAGGAAGAACCAAAACATTTACAAGGGAAATATATTTTGCAGTAACCATTCTAGCAAGAGAGATGAGATGTCTGCAGCAATCAGTTTGGACAATGTGGGAACAAGGAAATTAATTTTCATTGTTATTTCATCAAGTTATCCAATTTGGAAAACCTAAAGTTGAGAACTCTGCTCAGATTATTTCCTCAGAGTATGATGGGAAGGTTAGCATATCTTTTACCAAAAAAGTGCTAAGTCCATCTCCAGTAGCTTCTGTGAAGTTAAGGCCAACTCTACCCCTCTCCAAGAGAGAAACCATCAGTTGGAGCAGCATTCTAGTTCTCAAACCAATTCATTTTCTGCATATTTCTATAAGGTTCCTTTTTCTTTCTCACCATAATATTGGCAAAGGGCATCTTACAGAGAAGAAAGGCCTTGTTTTGTTTTGTTTCATTTTTTAAACACCTGTACAATCAATCCAAAATGTTGTGGCCTTCCAGCAACCTCACAGCAAGACCCCACCATCACAGAGATAATAATTCTGAATACAAGGAATGTGATATTTCCTGCTCTGTAAGTTTATGTAAAATCTTGTCATGTGTCTTTAATATCCAAGAATCTGACAACTTTAAATTTATATTTGCTTCCCTCTATGAGGTTGAAGGCTGACACCTCACCCCAGTGTATCCAGGAGGTAGGACATGGAGTTGGAGTCAAAGATTATTCTCTAACCTTACTATTGATTGTCCTGTGCGGTTTGGGGATTACTTGGAACCTGTTATGCCTTTATTCTTGCCTATTTATACCTCTTGGAATGGTAACGCCTACGCTATTCCTTTCCCACCATTGCAGTTTAGGAAGCTCATAGCATGTTTGATTTCACAGGCCCACAGTAGGAAGGGCATTTGTCTTAGGGTGAACTGTACTTTGAATCTCACTCGTATCTGATTTAGATGAGACTCTAGACTTTTGACTTTTAAGTGGGTCCTGAAATGAGTTAAGACTCTGGGGGCTACGGGAATGGAATGAATGTATTTTGTATCTAGGAAGGCATGAATTTGGGGGTGCTACTAAGGGCAGAATGCTGTGGTTTGAAAGTGTCCTCTCCAAAATTCATGTTGAAACTACCTTATTGGGGTAGTATTAAGAGATGGACCTTTTGAGGAAGTTATTAAGTCATAAGGGCTCCTTCCTGATGAATGGATTAGTGCCCTGTAAAAGGGCTGGAAGAAAGGAGGTTAGGCCCATTTTAATCTTCCACTCTTCTGCCATGTGAGAACACAGAGCTTACCTCCTTTTTATTCTTCAGTTCCTTCTGCCATTTAAGATTACAGCATTCATCCTCTTTTGCCCTTCAGTTTCCTCTATCATGTGAGGACACCACACTTGTCCCCTCTGGGGGATGCATTAAAGGTACAACTTGGAAGCAGAGCCCAGGCTGTCACCAGGCATCAAATGCCAGTACCTTGATCTTGGACTTCCCAGCCTTCAGAACCACAATAAAATAAATTCAGGTTCTTTACAAATTACCTAGTGTCAGGTATTTCATTACAGCAGCACAAACAAAGAGAAGCAAGAGGTAAAAAAAAGAATCCCAGAGACTACGATTTACACTTATCTCAATGCTGTTCAGGATGGCCATAAAAGAGAGAACATTTTTACAAATGGTCTTTCCTGTAGATGGGGACTAGAACCTGGATGACTTGAGAAGAGAGGTAATACAGTGATGTGTCAAAGCCAAGCTTGTGTAGGTTGCAAGAGGTGACTGTGTACATCTCATCTAAACTGCACTTCAAGTGATCTATGTTGGGAGTTTGAAATGGACCATAGTGAGAATTTTTATACAATGGAAATAGTCACTGCTACAAATCAGAGATTTTTTTGCCCTGAGAGTCTATTATTAAGCCATTAAAGATACGCCATTGCATATGTTCTCACAAGTTAAAGTCAGATATGTAGGCATAAAACAAAATAATCTGGAGTCTAAAAGAAAGGATGGTTAGGAGCTGGAATGAAAATGGAAAAGCAGCAGCTTGGCAGGGTGGAGGAAGTTCAAATACAGGAAGTGCAGGATAGAGAATGTAGTAGGAATGAATGAGACCTTAATGTGGTGCTGGCAATTGAGAAAAAGAAGGAGAGGGATAATCTGAAGATAGGCTCTGGTGTTTTTTGGTTTGGGGCCTCCAAGAAGCAGATACCAAGATAGGACTAGATGTTCAAGAGATTTATTAGGGGAAATGTCTGGGATAGATAAAAGGGAAAAAGTAGAAGTAGACAGGAACAGCTTTCAGTCTGTGATGCAGATCTGTGAAAGGAGAGGAGCAAGTGAAACAGATGAGGTAGAAAGCATCTGACACTACAGTGTAGTTCTGAAAAAGCTTCAACCAGACTAAGGGGTGCCCTGCACTCAAAGTCCTCCACAAGAAGAATCCCACATACTATGGGAATAGGCCAACACTTGGTTCCTCTGCTGTGCTCTACCATCAGCTGTGAAAAGCGTGGGAGAAGCATGGCCTTGGCATGAGTGCAGTGGTGAATCCACCATGGCAGCTGCTGGGACCATCTGTCAATTGTGTTCCTAGGGAAGCTGAGCAGTGCATTTACATGTAAGTGGTGCTGTTTAGGAAAAAAACAAATTGTTCCATTCACTATACTCTCATAATATGCTTCTGACACCAGATATGTGGGGAATTTTTCCCCACACAAGCAAGCAATCAATTCTGCAGCAGACACCAGCTGGGTGTCCTCCCATTCTACCCTGACTGCCAGGAGAGAGTGCTTCAGACACCAGTTGCAAGTCTCAGGTTGTTTTTCCTGTACTTCTGACCCACCAGCTATAAATCAGGGTTCCCACGACCTCCTCCTTAGATTCAATTAATTTGTTAGAGTGGCTCGCAGAACTCAGGGAAACTCTTATGTTTACCAGTTTATTATAAAGAATATTACAAAGGATGCAGATAAAGAGACGCTTGGGGTAAGGTATGGAGAAAGGGGCATAGCGTTTTCATGCCCTCCCTAGATGGAACCTCCCAGCATTCTGGAAGCCACTGGGTTCTGGAACCTCCCAGTGTTCTTTTCATGCCCCCTTCTAGGAACCTCCCAATGTTCTGGAAGCTACCCAAACTTCATCCTCTTGGATCTTTTATGGAGACTTCACCAAGTAAACATAATGGAAGCATGGCCAACTGTGTAGATATATGATTGGGCAAAAAGGAAATGATCTAATACTAATAGGCTGAGTGGGAAAACCCAGAAAGGCTGTCCGTTTAGGTTTTTCTTGGCCTCTCTGTGCAGCCTTCCTTCCACCTGGCTATGGGGCAGGACCCCTTCCGAAATGGGAGCCTTATGACCTACAATCAGACAAAACAGGTCAGAGACTTTACTTCTGGGCAGCGCTAAGACAGAAAGGCAGAGGAATATTCCTGCCTTGGGGAGAAAAAGAGGTGAAAGAGGGCAGGAGAAGGTCTGAGAGAGGAATTCTGTTTTCTGAGGCCTGCTTTCGAGGCCTAAAGTGCCCCAACATGATAACAAAACACTGTCTTTCACTTTTGTTGCTCTGAAGCTGTTCTGAAACCAATTCAGGAACCAAGGACAAAAGACCAAATGCTTTAACAAAAGTTATGCTTATTGTTTCAGTCACTTAGGAAATAACAAGGGCTGTGAGAGTTATGATCCAGGAACCATGAACAAAAATGGATATACATATGGAGTTGTAGTAGAGATAGGATTTTCCTTAGCAGCCCCGTTCTACTACATAACTGTAAGACTCCATGGCTGGGCCATCACTCCTCTGGGGCTACCTTGAGAGATATCACTGTTTCTTCATGGTGGATTTTAGGACTCCATTGAGAACTGCTGCTTTTGCCAAGACCCTGCTACAGTTACATTCTAGGTCTAGGTCCTTGATTATCTCTGAAAACAGTTTATCATCCCTAGCAACTGGCCTTCCCAGTGTCCGGCCTTCCCAGTGTTCTGCCTTGAAATTGGTCATAAATTATTTCTAAATTTGCATATTCCGTGCATATTATTTGAGGTTTTCTCTGACCTCAGATATTTTTCTGATTCCTCGTATCATGCTCCAGTTCCTCAGTTCTGGTCTCATAATTTTTTTTTTTTTTTTTTTTTTTTTTTTTTTTTGCGACAGAGTCTCGCTCTGTCGCCTAAGCTGGAGTGCAGTGGCTCAATCTCAGCTCACTGCAACCTCCGCCTCCCAGGTTTAAGTGATTCTCCTGCCTCAGCCTCCTGAGTAGCTGGGTTTACAGGTACACACCACCACGCCTGGCTAATTTTTATATCTTTAGTAGAGACGGGGTTTCACCATGTTGGTCAGGCTGGTCTCGAACTCCTGACCTCGTGATCCGCCCGCCTCAGCCTCCCAAAGTGCTGAGATTACAGGTGTGAGCCACCGCGCCCAGCCTCTTTGGTCTCATATTTAATGAGGGTTGCCCAGCAGCTGAGTTGGGGCCGTGTTGACAGGTTGACTTTCTCAGCTGGGCTGCATGTTTCCTAAGGGTGACGACAGTGTCTGTTTCTATCTCTGTGTTTCCCCCCCAGCACCTCAGATAGTTGGGCATGCAGCTGAGCTTCTGAGACATTAGTCAATATCCTTCTTTCTAGGACTTGAGTTTGGGATATTGGAGCTATTTTGCATTTTGCCTACCATCTCTCCTTTCTTCTTCCCGTAACACTTCATTTGATTTACAAGATAGTACATTAGATATTTGACTTTTGCTTACAGTTCCAGGGAAGCAGAGGTTGGCTGGTGGCAGATGGATAATATTTTCACCATACTGCAATATTTATAATTTAACATTGGCACTCATGTACCTAGTATTTGCAAAAGGGAATTTTGAAACTGTGGAATCAATTCACCGAACACTAAAATAATTAATCATTTTATCACTATTGTTTTTCTAACAACAAATGGATACTTTTTCAGTGTTTCTACACGGATAAGAAAAAGCATATATTTTGTATATATAAAAAAAGCATATATTTTGTGTATATAAATAGTGATAATTTGCAAAATGAGCACCCAAAAGCAGTGTTAAACGAAGAATCTTCCAGCAGATTTTAACTGAGGCACTTTCTCCTTTTTGTGGCCAGAAGCCTTGCATCAAAATCAGTAAAAGATAATAATTGAGTTCTTAATTACAGCACTAAATATAGCAAAGTGTATTTTCTGTTAGAAAGCATGTAATTCAAATTAAAAAATAAAATATAATTTCACCTCCCTTTAGCATTTTATCCTGTGCATTTAGGGTAAGAAAAAGGCCACTCTCACTACATAGGTTTTCCTCAAAGTAATTTTTGACATTTAACCACAAAAATGTGTAAAGGTTTTATCTGAATCTTCCTCTATATTGTAATAATTTGGAAATATTATAAAAGTAGTCATGCCACCCTCAAGATACCTAAAGAAGCAAACTCTTAATGCAACTCAATTACCCTATATTTGGGGTTGTAATTGAGAATGAAATTGATTCCATTTTGTGTTCTGGAAATTTGTGCAACAAATTTTATTACAGATCAAGACATCTTTATTTTATAATAGGTAAGAACACAGACAAATTTCTGTATTAGTCACCATACATTTTACTAAATCTTCTAGACAGCACTTCATAGAATTGCTGTTATATTTTTTCCTGCCAATCCAAAAAGTCATTTCTAATTATTAAGAGATTGCCATGCTCATTCAGGTAACAGCGTTACACAGTTAACTTAAAAGATTATTTTCAAGAAAATAAATGTATTTAAACATTTTCCAGGGTTGTTGCTACGTTTATTAATTCTCTAAAATTATATATACATACTTCAAGCATTCTCAAAGGAAACATATTTTTTGTGCCGTTTAAGAGGTTCTAAGCATATCACATTCCCAACTCTACCCATTCTAATTTGATCTATTACAACATGGGTTCTTAACTTGAGGTCCAGGAACTAGAATTCAGGAGGTTTGTGGGCATGGATGGGTTATTTTCCCTGGCCTGCAACCAAAATGTATTACTTCTTTCAGTTGTGAATCAGTCAACAAACCACCAGAGAAATGGAGGAAGCCATTGTTGACCATTATGGCTACCTGCCTTAGGCCTTTGCAGCTCCAAAGATGACACTGCCTTTTTTTTTTAAGGCCAATATTTACTTGGGAAATTTTCTGTATGTTCCACAGCATAGCAATTCTTACTGTTTAGTCATTTTAGGTCACCAGTTAGCCTTCTGTGTCTGGGAATTTGCTGCTCAGAGCTCTTCTAGTGAGTGCCTTTATCTGCTCAAACAGCTCAGGGCATTGTCTTACTGCACTGTCCCACTCTACCCATCAGCTGCTATCCAGCAGCTGGGATAACAGTCTTCACTAAATGCTATGGTTTGCATTTCCACTCCAAACTCATGTTAAAATTTAATCCCTGGCTGGGTGCGGTGGCTCATGCCTGTAATCCCAGCACTTTGGGAGGCAGAGGTGGGTGGATCACCTGAGGCTGGGAGTTCGAGACCAGCCTGACCAACATAGAGAAACCCTGTCTCTACTAAAAATACAAAATTAGCCGGTCGTGGTGGTGCATGCCTGTAATCCCAGCTACTCAGGAGGCTGAGGCAGGAGAATCGCTTGAATCCGGGAGGTGGAGGTTGCAGTGAGCTGAGGTCATGCCATTGCACTCCAGACTGGGTAACAAGAGTGAAACTCCATCTCAAAAAAAAAAAAAAATTAATCCCCAATATGGCTGTGCTGAAAGGTGGAACCTTTAAGAGGTGATCGGATCACAATAAATCCATACATGGATTAGTGGATTAATGGGTTATGATGGGAGGGGAACTGGTGGCTTTATAAAAAGAGGAACAGAGCCCTGAGACAGCACATGTGCATGCTTAGCCCCTTTGACATGTAATGCCCTGCTCTGCCTCAGGACTCTGCACAGAGACCGCACCAACAAGAGGGCCTCACTAGATGTGGTCCTTCAACCTTGGACTTTTCAGCCTCCAGAATTGTAAGAAATAAATTCATTTTCTTTGTACATTATCCAGTTCCATGTATTCTGTTATAAGCAACAGAAAATGGATGAATACTTTGAACATGACAGACGATGAATCATATCCAAATATGATATTGTACAAATCCAAAACTTGAAGATTAAACATCCTTCTCCTCAAAGTCACATTTCACCATCTTCTGCCTCAAGTTCCAGTGGTGAAAGTAAGTTTCTTTCCTTTTATATAAAATGAGAGTGACCTTTTTTCACCTTATTCATGTCTGGAATTATCATCCCATATTTAAAGATTCAGTAATATGCTCTGATATTTAATGCAGGGGTTACTCTAGAGCCTATCATCACTTAGAATTACGGAAAAAGTAGTAGAGGTTTTAAAATCTTAGTGTTCTCTTATGCCACCTGCACTACTGACAGCGAGAAGAAGGAAGCAGAAGACATATGAATGTACATCATGACATTAATTTTGCCTTTTACTTCACATAAAAGACCAAATTATCTGCAATGATTTGTACATTTCAATGAATATTTTTCTTTCTGTTGCACATTTAACATTGTTTGGAATTTGGGACCAATGCAATAAGACACAAAACAGAGACATTAATATATAGTCTAATTATTGGAAAGCTTTAAAGAAATTATCTCCTTTGCAGATGGCACAATTGTATACCAAAAGAATAATTACAACAAATTCCAAGGGAATCAATGGAAATTTCGTGATTAATTATTGTTTGATAACAACTTATAATACACAAGAATTAATAGCTTTCTAGTTTATTTGCTATAACTCATTAGAAATATAATAGAAAAATAATTAATGTGTCTCAAGGTAGCTACAAATACAAAGTTGTAAGATTAAGTTCATAAAGAAACATGTAAGACAACCATGAGGAGAGCAGCATAATTGATATGAATTATACAATTCTTAAATTCTTTCAAATTGTATATTTAATGTGATACAAATTAAAGTATGATTGTAATTTTGAAAAATGATTCAGTTTTTATTTTCTGGAAAAGTGATAAGGCAAAAATATACTTTAAAATTTTTGAAAAAAGAATAAATAGAAGATGGTAATGAATATCTTAGTTGCTAAATTTTCTGGTTCCTCTAGGCACATAGTTCAACTTCACTTTCTAAATTTATTTTAATTATGTGTAGCCATATGACATGTTTTGTTTATCGAAGTGTGAATGCAAATGATGTAGGTTACCCATAAGTGGATGCTTAAAGGGCTGATGTATAATTCACCACGTTCACGTTATCCTTCTAGGATGATTGTAGAAGTCCATTTAAAGATGGAGCCCCATCAGACTGAGTTCTTAAGTGACTATACTCTTCAGAGCCTTGTGACAATGTGTATTTGACATGGAGTGCAAACAACAAATGAATTTTTTTATTGTGATAGGTCATAGGTCACTGTTTTATACTACAGCATAACCTTGCCTATCTTGATTGATGCTAGTGAAATACTTCCTTTCTGTTAATTAAGGGAGTATAATCATGCAACAATTTGAAGACCAGCATTTGAGTGCAATAACTTACAGAGCAAGGAAATAACATTGATGACTCTTACACATACACATGTATAAAATTTGAATATTTCAAAAATATAAAATATATATTGATGTGGGGTGGAGGTGTTCAATGAATAATGCTGAAGCTGCTGTTTATTTAAAGAAAAAACTCCAGATCTTAAATTTGTAAAACAGTGCAAGCTAACATTGTCTGAGAACTCATTCTGTGTTCATTTCTGTTCTCTGTACATTACATGTATGTATATTTTCATGTAAAATTCAGAATCATCACAAAGAGAGCTAATAACGACATGTATATTTCACATATGAGGAAACTGAGGTACTGAGAGTTACATATTTGGCAAGGACACACAGGTGATACTTTTAGAGGTTAAATTATTGGAAATAACCTTTAAAATATAAGAATAAGGACATTAAAAAATATTGTGACAAATGAAGACTTCTTAAGATTAACAGCATGAAAATAGTCATAGAAGAAAAGAGAGACGATAACATAAAAATGATTCCAAAATGTTTAAACAAAATTAAAATTTGAAGATAAAGATGGAAAAAAATCTAACAGTATAATTTTAAGTACTTAAATGTGCAAAAAACACTTTCTAATTAATGAAAAGCAAATTAAAAATCAAAAGCATGTAAAATGTTCAATTGTACTAATAATAAAAATGTCAATAGATCAGAAATGCCATTTTTACTAATGTTATGTGAAAAATATTTCAAAATGATAAAATGCTGTTTATCCATATAACAATATTGCTTAATGCTTAAGTAATTATTTCAAAAAGGTTTTTTAATATAGGAAATTGTATTATAATAATCAACAAAATAATATATGTTTAAAAATGTAGAAACAACATATGAAATGTGCATATGGGAATGTGTTTATATATATTGGAATAAATGCCTAAGTATTAGTGGGAATTATTTCTTGGAGTATAGTTAATAGCCAATTATTATCCCTATATTGTTTTTGTTTTCCTAACACTCTTCAATGAATATATATTATTTTCTTTGCAGAAAAATAGATGATGTTGATTTAAAATATCAAATAGTGAAGGTATTTTCAAATTAATCTGAACAAAGTTCAAATCTCTTTATAATTATCTCTTCATAATTCTCTGAATTATCTCTTCATAATTCATACATTCATACATTCATTCATAATTCAACATTCATTTGGTTTCTGAAGGACTTTTGGCTGTGAGAGATTTTCTAAATCTCCGTCATTTGTGACTACGTAAAATATGAGAGACTAGAAAAGGAGCCAGAAGTAGTATTTGGTTGCCGTGTCAGAATTGATGAAAAAAGTAAGCAGCAATGTTACTTGAAGAGTGGGGACGAAAAACAAAAAACAAGAGTGTTATCTTTATAGACTCTCATATGCCTTCAGATATTTGTGGAAAGATGCGTATGGGCACAGCAAAGCCCTGAAAGAGAAATCAGTCCAGTAAAATGAAAGAATGACAAACTGGAATTCAGGTGCTCTGGATGCTAATCCCAATTCCGATTCCTCAGCCATGGAACTTGGAGCAGTCATTTTCTTTCTGTGGACCCGGGTCTTCACACCCATAAAGTGAGAATCCGGGGAACTAGTTATCTTTATGATTCGTTCCTGCTCTAAAATTCTTCTAGGTCAGTAATTACGTTTTAAAAATAAATAAAGAATGAAATTTCAATTTTACGTCCAGTATCTGATAAAATAACCTTCATGGTAATAGCTGGAT
The DNA here is from genome assembly GCF_000001405.40 of Homo sapiens. Taxonomy (NCBI): domain Eukaryota; kingdom Metazoa; phylum Chordata; class Mammalia; order Primates; family Hominidae; genus Homo; species Homo sapiens. Next base: position 239,163,377 of record NC_000001.11, read on the forward strand.
TCTGAAGTATGTTTTACGTTTAACGTAGGATAGTAAAAGTCAAGAACATTGAGCTACAGCACATGGCTTTGAATTAATATTTTTAAAACTTCTTTTCAATTATGTATAGCAAACCAAACAAACGGAAACAAAACCCTCCTGCCAAAATATGGTGTCTTGGGCCTGGTCACTAAAAGTTAGGTAAAACAAGTAAATATTTTTAAATGTACTTAAGCACTTTCTGTTAATCTAAAAAAAATGTGCATTTATTTAGACATTATTTGATAAAGAAAAAGATTTTTCTTTGAACAGGAGTTCTACAATTTGAGTTTTGTCTTTATTGCAAAAAACATATTTAATGGTGATTATCTGTGAATTTCAGTTTCAGTGAATTTAAAACATCTTCACAACACTTTCAGCCTTAAGCATAGAAACCATTTCAATTTGTATTTTCCCCATCTTTTCCAGTCATCTTCTTCACTCTTAATCTGACTACAGTTTCGTTTACCAAGTCACCATTATTCTCTTTTCAGAACTCAATTTTTATAGAAACAACCATTTTTTATTGCATTGGTTTAAATAAAATTTATTTAAATAATCTCATTAGAATAATAACTATTACAAGTATCGTAAGTATGTTTTATGAAAACACAGTAAACTGACTATTGGTAAATCAGTGGGAAGCAACAATGTGCTGGGACACTAGAAAGTGGCCTACTAATTCTGAGCGTTCCACACAGCCCTGAGAGTGAAATCAGAAACACAACCATTTTGAAAATACAATGCTATGTGCAGCCATAATTCCATCTTACTGAGAGAAAAGGGAGTGCCAGGGAATCTGGCATGTCAGTTAAGTGATGATGGATAACAGAAGTAGGGCATTTTTTTTGGAGACGGAGTCTTGCTCTGTTGCCCAGGCTAGAGTGCAGTGGCACAAACTCAGCTCACTGCAACTTCCGCCTCCCAGGTTCAAGCAATTCTCCTGCCTCAGCCTCCCAAGTACTGGGATTACAGGTGCCCACCACCACACCTGGCTAGAAGGAGGGCATTCTACACTTCGTTTATATTATCTATACCACTTTCTACTGTACCCACAAGAAAGGTGTTGCTAGAGTTAATGTGTAATTCATAAGAAAGAACAGTCTTCAAAATATTTCAGGCTAGATGATTCTAAGTGCCAGATTTCATTAGATGTATGAATCAGAATTAAGTGCAAATCAGCTTCCAGTCAGAAAATTTTGAACAGCGTGGTGAACATCACCACTCAGGTTGTGTGTAATCATGACTTTCAAGGTAGTATATTTACTTCTGAAAATAGTGTCATAACACAACCTACCTAAGAACATAATCCTCTTCATCATCTTAGTCACAGTGTAGCACTTAGCATGCACAATTATTCTCAAATCATATTTTCGATATTGAAATGACCTACTAACATATGTCAGCTGAAAATTCACTTTGTAATTCTCACAACCAAAAAAAAAAAAAATGAATCCATAGGGAAGATGATCAAAATGGAGAAAAGCAATTAATCTGTATGTATGAAATGCTCATCTAAAAGCATTTGGCAAAGTATACCCTACATTTCCGGGAGTGAGGAACTTTGAATCAAGGCATAGTAATAGTTTGGGATAGAGTCCAGGTGTATCTGACTCATTATGAGAAAAGTACGAGTCATTGAAAAAAATTTTTTTCACCTCTATTCACCTACTTATACTGGAGAAAATATTGATCTCTTGCTTAGGATTATTGTGTGTCTTGATAGTAAAAATGAAAAGAAAGTATTTTGAAAATAAAGGGTTATGGACATTTTGACAATTTTCAGGGTTGAATTTGTAAGACCTGCAGAAGAATTTTAAAAAATAGATTTTTAAATATAAATAAAGCTAATTTATCTTTTAAAATTGGAAGGACGTTTAATAGAAAAATAAAATTTCAAAATATAAAAATTTAGCATTCATAAAAAAGTTTTCTTATTATGATGTTTATTTAAAATGATGGCTAATTTGACATCATTAAATACTGGAATATATTAACGTATAATACAAGCATCTCTAAAATTTTAATGTTAAAGTTCAACAGACATTTACTGAATGCCAACTGTATGAAGTTTATTATCCTAGTTATCTGAGAAACACAGATAAATAAGGCATGGTCACTGTTCTTAATTAGCTTATAATGGATATTATAGAGTCAAATTATCTGTTTAAAATTATTATCTGGATCTCAGCTGTCTAGTTAAAGCAAAGCAACCCCAAAGCTGAGACAATTTTTAATACAAAATCACATGTCTTAATTTGATAGGGAGCAGATAAAGGTTTAACATAATTTATTAAATATTTCTTTTTCCTTAAGCACTGTATTATATCCTAGGAAAACAAACAGCTATAAAACCTGCCTCCTGCCTAGTAGCCCTCAAAAGACATTTAGGAAAACATGCAAATAATAAAACAGTGGGGAGAAGATAAATTATTGCCAAACCTTTTCCAAAAAGATACGGAAGTATAATGGGAGCACGAAGCAGAAGGTGGTCAATTGAGGACTGAGGCTGTGCAGTAGTTTTGGCAACTACAGTTTAGAGTGATACTCTAAACTTCTTCCTCCAGTGTTCTGCTGAAGCATACTCTGATATCTCGCTGGTTTTCTGGCAGTAAACTTTATTTGATGACCCTAATAAGTCTCCTGAATTAGGTTATCTTTAGCTCCAACATTTGTTCAGATTCCATAAAGATCAATTAAAATTTGGGGGGTAAAGGGGGTAAGAACATGCTTCCATTTTTATAACTAAACCTCTTTCAAAAACTTACCATGCGTAACAACATGGATGAAGCTGGAAACCAACATTCTGAGCAAACTATTGCAAGGACGGAAAACCAAACACCGCGTGTTCTCACTCATAGGTGGGAATTGAACAATGAGAACACTTGGACACGGGGCAGGGAACATCACACACCAGGGCCTGTCATGGGGTGGGGGGATGGGGGAGGGATAGCATTAGGATAAATACCTAATGTAAATGACGAGTTAATGGGTGCAGCAAACCAACACGGCACATGTATACATATGTAACAAACCTGCATCTTGTGCACATGTACCCCAGAACTTAAAGTATAATAAAAAAAACTTGCCATGCAAGAAATGAGCAAGAAATACTAAATGCAATATACCACATCTTACATTAAGAGAAATATTTATTAAAACATTTATTTATTATATTATTTATTATACAATAGAGACACTGCCAGATACTGAACACAAAATAAATAACAAAATATGGCTCTCCTTGATTAAAGCTTGCAGTATAAGTTTACACATGCTTTTAAAATGACATCGATACAAAGGCGTAAGACATTTGGATAATGTGTTTTATAAATTTAAAAAACTTCTGATTTCTTATACTTGGCACAAAAAGCTACAGGGAGAGGAACTAACATGTTGTTGATGGTCTACTTCAAATAGACACTTTAATATGCATTATTTTGTCTGTTTTCTCACAACACTATTATCACATATTAGGAGAGAAACTGAAGCTCAAAAATTTAACATGACTTTAGTGAAAGAGCTATTAATATGTGCTGAAGATAGAATGTTAAGGTAACTCTATGTCGCCTCTAAGCTTTTACATAGAGATACGTAATATTTCTCAGAGTGTTCTGCAAAGCAAGGATTCTATGGAATGTTAATAGAATTCATCATCAATAACAAATAAAAAGTCTGAGTTAAAAAGACAGTAGTCCTCATAGCTTTAAGTATGCTGCCTTATACTCTGAACAACCAAGATAAAAATCATAGTATGGGTTTCCCAAAATATTTAGCCATAGTATTTTGTTAATGGAACACTGAATGGATATATTGTATTAGAGAATGAACTACAGGAAGCACTCCACCAAAGCTGTATAAATGGAAATGCAGAGAAGGTATGTAAAGAGAATAAGAAGGAGAGTGTCAATTACTTTGGGTGATCATCTTTGCAGAAAGTTATACCTTTATCAGTGGAAGAAGTTATTATTTCTAAAATTGGAAGTAGTGGCCCATCTTTCTACTGAGATATATATATATATCTTAGTAGAATATATATATATAGAGAGAGAAAGATATATATATATAGAATATATATAGATATAGATAGAATATATAGATAAAGATATAGATAGAATATATATAGAGATATAGATAGAATATAGATATATATCCCAACCCAAAAGCAGAGGCAGATACCTTATTAAAATACTGCCAGTTATAGCTGCAATAAAACAACTAAATTATGCATACCTTTTTGTCATACACACACACACATCTAGAAAACTGAAGAAAATATATAAAAAATACCATTATCAGACCCTTGACAACAGACAGGGATAATAGTATCCTTAACGGGAAGACAATAAATGAGTTAAACCTCGTGTCTTAGTCTTCTCAGGCTGGCTGCCATAAAAAGTTATCAGAGGCTGGGTGTGGTGGCTCCCACCTGTAATCCCAGCACTTTGGGAGGCTGAGGCGAGCGAATCATGAGGTCAAGAGATCAAGACCATCCTGCCCAACATGGTGAACCCCCGTCTCTACTAAAAATACAAAAATTAGCTGGGCGTGGTGGCGCATGCCTGTAGTCCCAGCTACTTGGGAGGCTGAGGCAGGAGAATCGCTTGAACCCAGGAGGCAGAGGTTGCAGTGAGCCGAGTTCACACCACTGCACTCCAGCCTGGTGACAGAGTGAATCCCTTCATCTCAAAAAAAAAAAAAAAACTTATAATAGATTGGCATGGACTGGGTGGATTAAACGAAATAAGTTTATTTTGTTACAGTCCTAGAGGCTTGAAGTGCCAGATAAAGGTGCTGGAAGTCAGTTCCTGGTGAGACCCTCTTCCTGGCTTGTAAATAGTGTCTTCTCTATATGTCTTCACATAGTGGAGAAAGAGAGAGCAAACTCTCATGTCTCTTCTTGTAAGGACACCAATTCTATGAGATTGGGGCACCATCTTTATAACCACATTGTATAATTTTAATTACCTCCATAAAGGTCATGTCTTCAAATACAGTCACATTGAGGGTTGGGGCTTCAACATACGAATTCTGAATGGACATAAACATTCAGTCCATAACACTTTACCATTACTCTAGCCTACTGCTTGACACATTTGCTATACAGTGATACAGAAGTGAGATTGTATCTGTAGGTCAGGAGAATATACCTCTCAATCCTGTAACTGCAAAAATACTAAAGGCACTAGCTCTGTATTCAAAACTTCATGGGCACATTTGCACTGAGGCCATGCCTCTGAAAAGCTGAGCTCACATCATAACTGAGTATAGCAGGAATACCTAGGTAGACCTTTTCTTCGGAGGTGCAGATCAAGAAATAAGAAAATAACTCAAAAATATGGTAAATGCATTATATAGTACAATACAGTTTAAAAATCAACACAAGAAGTAAATGGGACTCTTGCACTATGCACACACACACATACATCAATATATACAATTTTAAAATATATAAAAGAGGCACAGAGAAACAAAATAAACAAGATAGATAAAAAACAAATAGCAAAATAGCAGATATAATTTCAATTCTATAAATATTATATTAAACATGAATGAACTAAACACTTTAATCAAAAGAAAGAGATTGTCAGACTGAATTAAAAACCAAGATCCAGATATATGCTACCTACAAGAGACACACTTCAGATTCAAATATACTAATACATTGAAAATAACATGATAAAGGTGATTTTTCTAAGTGGTACATACACTAAGACCTCTGGCATCCATTTCTCTGTAAATGCAACAGGAAAACTAGGGAAAAAAATAGCAGAATTAACTTTTTTGGAAATCCAGAAATTAAATAAGGGCTTGACATAATCGAGGGAGTATTTAGTTTTTAAAAAATGGATAAATCTTAGTAAAAACAGTGAGCTGTGTGGTGTTTTAACTTGCCCTAGTCACATTTCCCTCTCTTTAGCTCTACAGGAACCTGGTAAATAGCAGGTCTCATTTGTGGTGAAAACCAATAGCTTGATAGTCGCTGGAGGGGGCAGAAAAAACTGGAGCTCTTTCAAGCCTTCTTCCCAGAGTGTTCTCATTCTTTGACTTTTCTGTTTGTTCACTGAAAACTACACTTGCAAGGCTGTCTGTATTTGACTTGACTCAGAGCTTTCTCAGTCCCAAAAGCTTTTTGCCTAGGGGCAAATATTGAAAAAGAAAATACAACTAATAAACTTAGTGCCTGCCTAAGGTAGTGAATAACTGTTGAGGCAAACAAAACAAATCAAATAGCTTAAGAAGAAAAGCTGTGGAATGATATGTTCACAGCAGCTTTTAAAAACTCAGTTATGTTCCTATGCACCTAGAAAGCCACATGCATACCCAAGAAAGACCTGAGATGGCCCTAAATAAGCCTCTTTCACTGGCCTTGAGGCTCTATGCAAGCAGGAAGTGGAGGCTGAGGCTGAGGTAGAGTTGCCAACTGGCTAGCAGAGTGTTGAAAGCATGCTCCAACACACAGACATGCACATACACACACACACACACAGCCCCTCAGCAAAGACTGGAAGAATGACTGGTTTTTGTTTAAGAAAATATCTCTCCAATTATTTACAGTCCTTTAAGCTAACTAAGCAGAGAGTTTAGTGGCCACACATGACAAAGAAGATAGAATTTACAGAATTACTTCAGAAAAGTCACTAAATAAACAAACAACTTTTACAATAAACAACAAAAACAAAAACCCTGTAATGGAGGAAGAATCTAATTTCCAGTTTTGCCACATAGTATTAAACCAGAAAGTATAGTTCTTATGCTGAAAAAATAAAATAAAACAGTTTTTCTAAGGGAACCTAGACATTGTACTTTACACATGGCGCTTGACCAGTCAGAAGAGCTGTTATTAAAAAGTCAAACAATAACGGAAGCTGGTAAGGTTGCAGAAAAAGGGAGCACTTATACACTGTTGGTGGGAGTGTAAATTTGTTCAACCATTATGGAAAGCAGTATTGTGAATCCTCAAAGAGCTAAAAGCAGAACTACCATTTAACCCAGCAATCCCATTACTGGGTATATACCCAGAGGAATATAAATCATTGTAACATAAAGACACATGCACACAAATGTTCATTACAGCACTATTTACAATAGTAAAGACATGAAATCAACCTAAATGCTCATCAATGATAGACAGGATTTTATAATGTAGTACATGTGTACCATGGAATACTATACAGCCATAAAAAAGAACGAGATCATGTATTTTTCAGGAAAAGGGATGGAGCTGGAGGCTATTATTCTTACAAACTAACTCAGGAACAGAAAACCAAAGTTGTTTTACAAGTTCTCACTGGTAAATGAGAGCTAAATGATAATAACTTCTGAATACAAAGAAGGAAACAACAGACACTGGACTGGGTTCTACTTGAGGATGGAGGGTGAGAGGAGGGAGAGGAGCAGAAAGGATAACTACTGGGTACTGAGTTTAATACCTGGGTTATGAAATAATGTGTACAAAAACCACCATTTGTTCACCTATGTTACAAACCTTCACATATACCCCCAACCAAAAACAAAAGTTAAAACAAACCACAACAAAAAAGCAAATGGTGCTTGAACAACTGAATATACTCATGCAAAAGGATGAATTTGGAGCCCCACCTCATAGCATATGAGAAAATAAACTCAAAGCAAATCTGAAAGCTAAATATGAGAGCTGAAACTTTTAAACTATTAGAAGAAACTACAGGTGTGACCCTCCAGGGTCACTGGATTAGGCAATAGTTTCTGAAATATGACACCAAAAGCTCAAGCCATAAAAGTAAAAATAGATAAATTGGACTTCATCAAAATTAAAAATTTTAGCACTTAAATGAATACCTTTAAGAAAAATACAACCCACAGAATGAAAGAAAATATTTGCAAATCACATACCTGATAAGTAAGATCAATCTAGTATCCTGAATATACAAAGAAGTATTTCAACTCAAGAATGAAAAGTCAAAAACCTAACTTGAAAATTGACAAAGAATCTAAAGAGACATTTATCTGAAGATACACAAATGGACAATAAGAACATGGAAAGATGTGCAACATCATTATCAACTGAAAATGTAAATCCAAACCACAATTTGTTACCACTTCATACTTATTAGGCTGTCTATAAAAAAATGATAGCCAGTGTGAACCCGGGAGGCAGTGCTTGCAGTGAGCCGAGATTGCGCCACTGCACTCTAGCCTGGGCAACAGAGCGAGACTCTGTCTCAAAAAAAAAAAATACGATAAGCCAGTAACAAGTGTTGTTGAGGATGGAGGATGTGGAGAAGTGGAAACCCTCATATATTGCTGGTGGGAATGTAAAATGATGCAGGTATTTGAATAAAGCTCCAACAGTTCCTCAAAAAGTCAAACCTAAAGTTAGCCGTATGATTCAGTAATTTCACAGATATATGCCAAAGATAAATAAAAACATGAATAAACAAAAACACAGTGTTCCTCAACTGATGAATACATAAATAAAATGTGGCAATTCATACAGTGGAATATGTTTTAGGCATGAAAAAGAACAAAGTATTGATGCATGCTACAACATAGAAGAATTTTAAAACAGTATCCCAGATGAAAGAAACAAGACACAAAAGTTTACATATTGTATAACACCTTTGTAGAAAAAGCCCAAAATAGGCAAACCCACAGAGACAGAAAGTAGGTAAGTTATTGCCAGGGGCAGTGACATTGCTAATGTGTATAGCGTTTCTTTTTGGAATGACAAAAAATGTTCTGGAATTAGATAATGGCTATGGTTTTATAACATTTTGAGTACATTGAAAACCACTTAGTTGACAGTTTAAAAGGATAAATTTTATGGTACATACAGTACATCTTAATTAATAAAAGGAAAATAAGAGAATGGAAAGAAATGTAACATGAAAATAATAATTATTGGAGTGCTGGAGTGACTATATTAATATCAGATCAAACAGATTTAAGACAGTAAATATTACTACAAAAGACAAGGTATTTCATAATTTTTAAATGGTCAATTCATCAGCAAAATTTTACAGCAATAAGTACACACATTGTTTATTGTGTCAAAAAAGAAAGTTTGAAATTACATGAAGGTAAAACTTCAGTGTTTGGCAGTTTCTTCTTCACTCTCTGTCTCTTGCCTGCCACCATATATGACGTGCCTGCATCCCCTTCCACCATGACTGTAAGTTTCCTGATACCTTTCCAGCAATGTGGAACTATGAGTCAATTAAACCTTTTCTCTTTATAAATTACCCAGTCTCAGGCAGTTCTTTAAAGCAGGCTTAAAATGGACTAACACAGTGTTCCATTAGCATTAAAAAAGAATGTGTACTCTTTTGTCTTTGGATGGACTGTTCTATAGATGTAGATTAGATTAATTTGGATGCAGTATCATTCAAGTATTATATATCCTTGCTGATTTTTTTATTTGTTCCATCAATTATTGATAATGGATTATTAAAGTCTCTAAGTTTTATTGCTGAATTGCCTATTTCCCCTTTAAATTATGTAAGTATTACATAACTTAAGTATTACATAATTTACATAATACGAAGTGGGAGAATCACCTGAGCCTGGGAAGTCGAGACTGCAGTGAGCTGTGATTGCACCACTGGGAGACTGTGGTTGCACCACTAGGAGTGAGAAGTAACTAACTTGTATCTTGGAAGTAACTAACTTGTTTTTGATTTTACAGGCCGATAGGTGGAAGAGACTTGCCTTGTCTCAGATGAGACTTTGGAGTTGGACTTTTGAGTTAAAGCTGAAATGAGTTAAGATTTGGGGGATTGTTGGGAAGGTATGATTGGTTTTGAAATGTAAAAAGGACATGAGATTTGGGAGGGGCCGGGGGCAGAATGATATGATTTGGCTCTGTGTCCTCACCCAAATCTCATCTTGAAATGTAATCCCCGCTTGTCAAGGGAGGAACCTGGTGTGAGGTGACTGGATCATGGGGGTGGTTTCCCTATGCTGTTCTAGTGATAGTAAGTGACTTCTCATGAGATCTGATGGTTTTATAAGGGGCTTTTCCTCCCCTTCACTCTGTACTTCTTGCTGCTGCCATGTGAAGAAGGATGTGTTTACTTTCCTTTTCACCATGATTTCAAGCATGATTGCACCACTGGGAGTGAGACCCTATCTCGAAGTAAAATAAAATAAAACAAAAACTCTCACTCCCAGTGGTGCAATAGAGTGAGACCCTATCTCAAAGTAAAATAAAATGAAACAACAACTCTCAACAAATAAGAAAGAAAAGAGTAATTTCTCGGTCTCATAAAGAGAACCTATGAAAACCCTACAGATAAAATGTAGCATGACAAATAACATACTTTCCCCCCAGTATCAGGAATAAGGCAAGAATGTATGCTTTCACCACTTCCAATCAACAAGGTAGTGGAGGTTCTAGCCAGTGTAATCAGGCATGGAAAAAAATGGTATCCAGAGAGGAAAGAAATAAGTAAAATGGTGTCTATTCACAGAAGACATCAACTTGAATAATAACATAGAAGATGAAATTCTTACAGTTAGATCTTACAAAAGTCCTCTTTATTGAAAACTATAAATCATTCTTGAGAGAAATTAAACAAGATGTAAACAAATGAAAAGACATATCTTATTTGTTGATAAGAAGAATTAATATTGTTAAAATAAATAACAATTCTTATTTTGATCTACAGAGATGGTGCAAGAATAATTACTATAAGAACGGGCATTTTTAGAGCAGTTGACAAGCTATTTCTGAAATTCATCTGGAAATGCAAAGGACCTGGAAAAGGCAAAACAACTTAAGAATTATTTTAAAGCTGAAGTCACCAAGACAGTGTGCTATGGGTTTCAAGATAGACAAATAAATTAATGGGTTAGAAAAAAAGCCTAGAAATATATATATATATATATATGTATGTATATGTATATAGACATTGAATATATATAAATATATATTCAATATATAAAAAATATAGGATATATATAATATATATAGATGTGTGTGTGTGTGTGTGTATATATAGAGAGAGAGAGAGAGAGAGAGCCAATTCATTTTTTGACAAAGCTTATAGGAAATTGAGTGGAGAAAAGAGAGCATTTTCAACAAAGGTAGTGGAACATTTAGACATCCATTTAAACTTCAATAATAACTTCAATAACTTCAATCCTTATCTCACATCATATAAAAAATTAAATTGGCTCATAGACCTAAATGGAAAACTAAAACTATTAAATTTCTGGGAGAAAATCGAGGATAAAGTCTTTGTAACTTTGGGTTTGACATTAAAAGCACAAATGATAAAAGTAAAATTTGGCAAACTTGACTTTTCAAATTAAGAAATTCTTCTCTCCAAAGGATTATAAAAAGATAAGTCATGGGTTGGGAACAGACATTTGCACATTACCTACTTGATAAAGTACTTGAGTCTAGAATATATAAAGAGCTTTCAAAATTCAACAATAAGAAAACAAACCAATACAAAGGGTGGGGCTAGAATTTGAATAGCCGTGTCACAAAATAGATGATAAATTAGAACGTTAAAAAGGTCTTTAACATCACTAGTCATTAGGGAAATGCAAATTAAAATCATGAGACATTAAAATGAATAAAATACACTTCTTAAAATAAAATATCAGGCCATATTAACTCCTGACAAGGTTGTAGAGCAACTGGAACTTACTGTTGATGAAAATATAAAATGATACCATCGCTTTGGAAAATGCTTAGTCAGCTTCCTGAAATGTGAAGCATACTCCTAACATATAGCCCAGGCATTCATTCCTATGTATTTGTCCTAGAGAAATTAAAGCATATATCATCATGAAAACTGACACATACATGTTTGTAGCAGCGTTATTTGTAATCTCACAGAAACATAAATAATGCAAATGCCCATCAAGAGAAGAATGAACAAAGAAATTATGGCACATTCCAACAATTAAATACTACCTAGCAATAAAAAATCTACTGATAAACCTAAAAAGATAATTATGCTTAGTGAAAAAGACACATAAGAGTATGTATTGTATGATTCCATTTTTAAAATTCTAGAAAATGGAAATTAATCTATGATAACATAGAGCAAATCAGTGGTTGCCTAAGAAAAGAGAAGGGATGAAAGAAAGACTCTAGTTTATTGTACGTCAATTCTACCTCATTAAACCCATGAAAAAATATATAAATGAGCATTATTTCCTGCATGATATCAAAAGAATAAACAGTATAGTATTGGTTAAACATAAATAAATCAATGACAGTCTAGAAACAACAAAAGTTTACATGAGTTTAATTTATAATAGGGTAGCAGTAACAACAGTGAATTATTTACCATAATTTCAATAATCCCTTGAAAAGGGGTTAATTTCAGTGGTCCAGAGCACAGATTAGAGAGAAAGATTTCCTGCAATTAGTCCTGGCTCCTCTACTTAATAGTGTGATGACTTTTGAAAAGTTATGTAATCTTTCTAAGTTTCTAACCCATGACCGTCCTTGTTACAACCTGCGTCCAAATCAAACTATTTGTCAAAAAAGGGAACAAGTAAAATTTTAATTTAACCTTGACCTCTACCTAACACTACCCCTTAAAACTAACTTATAAAGGTCTTGATTCTATATAAAAGCAAAATTAATAACATCTGTAGAAGCAAATACAGGGGAACATCTAGGGATTCCTTATGGTTTAAATAGTTCTAATCAGGGATGAGGGCGTGTCAGCTGGGAGTCTTTTGTTATCCAGGAGTCATGGAAGAAAATCTTACTGCCTATCAGAAAGCCTGTGCAGCCAATTTAGGATACCTTCAGTTTTCATCTATGAAGAACAGAACATTTATTTTTAACCAGTTTCAGAGAAGGATATCAAGACAAAATATTCCTTAATCCTCTTATTCAAAATTAAAACAAAACAAAGGATTATACATCTCACTCACTCCTCTAGTTCCTAAGTCTTTTTACGTCTTGCTTTCTCCTGCCAAGCTTCAAGGTTTGCCTACATTCTTTTTCCATTTTAAGTGGATATGGCACTTTAGGAAGTACATCGTGCAGGACTGAATTAAATTACTAGCTCTGCCATTTAATTGGGTTGCCTTAAGCGATCCTTAAGCAAAGGACTGATTAAGAAAACTGTCTTTTTCTTAGTCTTTCCTTCAACAAATAAAAAGGAACAACAAATAAAAAAAATATTTTTTATTGTGAATGCTGAATGAAATAACATGGCGACAAAGTATGTCCCACAGTAGTCATTTTAAAATGTTAGCCTCCTTTCCTTTTTGAATATAAAATATCCTATTTGATTTGTGTGTATAGCCAGTCCAGCTTCTCTTCAATCCTTTAAGAACCATTTAGGGCAAAAATTATTTTAGTACTGCTCTAGGTAAGATCATTGTTGTCAGTAATGCTAGCACTTCCATTGTCCTCTTGTACTGAATTGCATTCTTTTATTTTGGTTTTTGTCTTTCAGAATTTATGACATCGGGACAGAGGGAATTTGTTCATTTTGTCTTATTTATGCTAATGGGAACAGTCAGTGAAATAGGAGCGACTGAAATTATAAGGAACCCATAACAGTCCTTGTGCAACCAACCGCCAAAACAAACCATTTGTCATGAAGGGGATAAGCAGAAATTTAACAGCTTTCTCTCCTTTCTGTTTTTCTTTTGCCCGCGTTCCTCTGACCTCTGTTACAGCTCTAAATTGTTGTAAAAGCAATCAGACATCTGTAGCAAAAGAAGGATGAAAGAAAAAGTGTTTAAATTATCTGTTAAAAAAAATGAGTTTTTCATACGAGGAGCAACTTGCTGTTGGGGATCAGAAAATGATGCCCTAAAAGGAAGGCTCTTCAGTCTGAGAAGCAAAAGTTTCTCTTAGACCTTCCCCGACCTTCTTGTAAGGGGTGCCTACGAGAGAATGAATGCCTCTCATTCTCCTCAAGACTAGCCATAGAGACTAGAATCTCTCTTCCCCACGGCAGGTTGTAGAAACCAGAAGCTCTTTTCCCCAAAGCCAGATATAAAACCTAAAAATATTACTCTTTATCCCCCACCTTTCTTTGTAAAATGTTGCCATTAAGAACTTACCTGGGCCGGGAGCGGTGGCTCACGCCTGTAATCCCAGCACTTTGGGAGGCCGAGGCGGGCGGATCACGAGGTCAGGAGATCGACACCATCCTGGCTAAAACAGTGAAACGCCGTCTCTACTAAAAATACAAAAAAATTAGCCGGGCGTGGTGGCGGGCGCCTGTGGTCCCGGCTACTCGGGAGGCTGAGGCAGGAGAATGGCGTGAACCCGGGAGGCGGAGCTTGCAGTGAGCCGAGATGGCGCCACTGCACTCCAGCCTGGGCGACAGAGCGAGACTCCGTCTCAAAAAATAAATAAATAAATAAAATAAAAAGAACTTACCTGATCTACCTTATTTGACTGTAGGTCATAAGACCCCCATTCCAGAGACAGTCCTGCCCCACACCCAGAAGGAAGGAAAGCTGCAGAGAGAGGACAAAGAGAATTTAGACGGACAGGCCCTGCTGGGTTTCCCCACTCAGTCCACTAGCATTAGATCATTCCCTTTTTGTCCAGTCATATTTCTACATGACAGTCCATACTTAGTTGAACCTAAGCATAAAAATGGACAGTTTCCCTTGTATTTTGGGGTCTTCATTCTGAAGGTCTCCTGTCATGTAAATCCATGATCAAATACATTTGTATGCCTTTTCTTGAATAAATCTCTTTTGTCTATTGATTTTCAGCAAACATTCAGAGGGTGAAGGGGAAGCATTGCCTTGGCCCCTACACTGTTCTTCAGGGAAAGAGCACCAGAACCTTGAGTGGTTTCTTTGTGACCATACTTCATTAGCGAAATCACCTCTGCATCTATTATCTCCAGCTGCAGCAGCAGCAGCAGCAGCAACAATCCTTTTAAGGAGAGTTAAAAATGGCTAATGGTATTTCCCCTCACAAGCAGTAGTTATTATCATTGCTCAAGGTCAATGTACATAAAAGAATGTAGAAATTCCGAGGAAGAAATGTGAAGAGTTTTTATGAGAAAAGAACAGAGCTCCAGGGCTTTGCACAAAAGTGACAAATTACTGTAATCTTTCATGGGAATGGCCATAAGATATCATGTGTATAATATAAAAATTGCTTTTTAAACTAACCATGTTTATTCTGATTATTAACTTCCAAGAAGAAGAAACTTAACCTAATAGTTAATTTCCTGTTGGTGCAAAATATATTATTTGGATAATGCAGACTGATATCATTAATCATATTTTTATAATATATTGGGATAAATTGTCAAATATCTTAGGTGCTTTACCCTTTAAATCTATTGCCATTATTTGTAATAATTCAATTAATTCTCCATATCTCTGAGCACGGATGTCCGGTATCTGTTTTAGTTATCAGTTATTTAATGGTTACTACATTCCAGGCACTCTGCTAAGTAAGTTACATAAATTATTTAACCCTCACAGCAATGGTTTGAAATGATCTCCATTGTGTCAACCTAAAATAACCAAAAGGAACAAAATCTAATTTAAAGAAAGTGTATTCAAGCACAAAGTGTGAAGGTGGCCATCTGGGGAACAGAGCTGCACCAAAGAATGGTGCTCAGTGCTCCTGCTGTGAGAAAAAATGAGGATCATTTGTATAGGCAAAAATCGAGTTGGTGAACAAAATTACAACGTTTTTCCAACACAGACATGCAGATAATAAGATTTGGTTGGCTAGTACTGATTACACTCTAAGAAGGTTATGTAACATTTTATCATAAAGAGGTAACAATCACAAGGATCTCTCTAATATCGTTTAGTCTAGGTTTGAATAAAGAATAGGGAGTCTGGTTAATGTTTAACATCTTAACACAAAGGTCAGGAAGCAAAGGCCAGACACCAGAGAAGAAAAACAGCCATGTCAAATGAGTCTGTTTCTAGGGCATCATTTTTTCCCTTGGCATAATAAATTGGGGTGATCCTGAAATTTTCATTCTTTTTACATTTCCCTCTTTCTTTCAAACTCTAAGAGGAAGCATTGCAGGAGAATTATTTAGTCAGATCGCATATTTGATCGAATCTCACATTGCTAGGAAGACTCATTTTTAGGAAGTCATGTACCATGGAGGAGAGAAATATTAGAAAGGACCAAGGCCGAATTACAAAGAAACAAAAGGAAAGTAGTCTTGGAACCTGGTTAGGCTACATGTCTATCTCTGTAATCAAAGCAAATTTTTGAACAATCATTACTTTGGTTTTTTAGTTGTATATTGACTTGAAGACAAATATCATACGGTAATGGAGACAAAAACAGGATAAAACACAACAAACAAATGATTATAATTTTTAGAATATGTAACAGTGTTTGTCACCAAGTTTCCTGTGATTCAAACCAGTTATTCAGCAAGTTGTTTAGAGGACATGTCGGATCTGAAGGTTGGTTACTTGGGTTTTTATATTAGCCACTAATTTAGTCACGTTATTTGACTTAACTGTAATATAGACACAACATTTAGTTTTCAGGATAGCACAGGTTTCTTTTGGGCTACAGTGTATATGTCTAAAGTCATGTGGTTTTGTAATATAGCCTTTTTATGACAGTAACTTAATTAATAGCAAGGTATGGAATCTTATCATTTAATAACAAGTTAGAAAATGCAGCTGTCGCTTAGGGCCTTTTGGATATAATTGGTTAGGGCCTCTATATGTCAAATGACATCTTTAATACACAGCTGTGGTATAAAGAAAGAAGCTAAATGGTCACACCAATGGAACATAGAATATACCTATTGAGATTGTAAACGGGGAAAAATTGTTGGTTTTGACAGCATGTGAACTATTTGACCTTATAGCTAAGTATAACCCAGAGGACATTGTCCTCTTCATCTTGGGGTAACTATGGCCGTAGATAGCCAAGACATTTTAGTTGGAGCTAACCAATAAATACCCAGTTATTGTCTCTAATTAGTGGCATGTGAGTCAGCACTTTGTAATATAACGGTGTGGGTGACTGTGTTTTGGGCATTTTCCCATATCTCTAGTGCAGTGGGCCATTCATCTTTGGTGTAATTTTTTGTTCCCAACATAAAGAGACGTGTTGATTAAGCTGGCCAAAAGAAGGAGTGAGACAAATAAACCTGTTCCGAATTTGTACTATATCATCTTGAAATCAAGTTGTCCTTTGGGGGAGCAACATTTTATTTGTTTATTGTTTTTGTCTTTTGTTTTAGTTGAGGTAGTGTCAGAGTAAAACCTAACTAGTAGCCAGGCGCAGTGGCTCACGCCTGTAATCTCAGCACTTTGGGAGGCTGAGGCGGGCGGATCACAAGGTCAGGAGATCGAGACTATCCTGGCTAACATGGTGAAACCCCATCTCTACTAAAAATTAAAAAAAAAAAAAAATTAGCTGGGCGTGGTGACAGGCGCCTGTAGTCCCAGCTACTCGGGAGGCTGAGGCAGGAGAATGGCGTGAACCTGGGAGGCAGAGCTTGCAGTGAGCCGAGATCGCGCCACTGCACTCCAGGCTGGGTGACAGAGCGAGACTCCATCTCAAAAAAAAAAAAAAAAAAAGCTAACTAGTTAGAGTTTTATTTTTCTACCAAGACGCTCTTCCTATGGTGCTTGTTCTGTACAGTATCATCAAAAGCCAGAGTGTACAGTATCTTCAGCCAGACTGTCATTTTAAAATATGAATAAATGGGAATCACTAGAAAGACACATGAGACCATGGGTCTAATAAGCGTCTTTTCGTAAGCTATCAGCATAGTCTTGGGCCCATTGTAAAAAGTGGTTTGCTTCACAATAGCTGGTGATACTTCTACCAAGACATAAGAATTAGGGATAAAAAGAAGAAAGTTTAATTGGAGCTTATAAAAGAAAATCCTCCCCATCTGTTAACAATCGTTAGCATAAACAGTTTGTTTAGATACAGACCTGGTCTGGGGTTTTGTGTTTTAGCTGTCCACATCGGATGCCATCTTTTTCCTAACCTGGTGTTGACTTATTTTAAGTCAGAGATCACCTTTCAGGGAAGAGTCCAGCCAGGAGTGTCATTCTTTTTTAGATGAGAAATGCTAACGCATGAATCTTCACCAACGAGGTTTGGTGAGGAGTACTCGATCAGGTCCATAGCATTTTCACTGAAGAGAGCTCTTTAAGAAATGTCATATCCGGCCGAGGCGGTGGCTCACGCCTGTACTCCCAGCACTTTGGGAGGCCAAGGCAGATGGATCACTTGATGTCAGGGTTTGAAACCAGCCTGGCCAACATGGCGAAACCCTGTCTCTACTAAAAATACAAAAAATAGTCAGGTGTGGTTATGGGTGCCTGTAATTCCAGCTACTCGGGAGGCTGAGAAAGGAGAATCAGTTGAACCCGGGAGGCGGAGGTTGCAGTGAGCAGAGATTGTGCCACTGCACTCCAGCCTGGGCAACAGAGCAACACTCACTCTCAAAAAAAGAAAAAAAAAAGTCTTTGCCAATAGATGAAATTTCCTAGACTGCGTGGCTTTTGAAATTTCCCATCTTCTGGGAGCTTGCTGTGAAAAGATTATTTCACCAATTTATAATTTTTAGTTAGTTGCTTCATAAGACCGTTGTAATAGCTAAACATGTCTCCCTTTACTATTGAAGACATATAGTTTCCTGGAGACAATTTCATAGGTCTGCTTGTTATAAATTTGATTGGAGATTACTGGTATTTAGCAAAAGGGGGTCAACCTCAGGTTAAGTAGAATCAGTGGAAGAGCTTTTGGGGAAGACATACTAAAAGCCTCAGTTAATTTTGCCAGTTTTGATTATTTCATTGGTGCTTTCCACTAACCCAGATGACTGGGGGTAGTAAACATAATGAAATGTTGGCGACTAGACCAAACTTTACATACTGATTAAACTTAAATTTGCCCAGTGAAGTCAGTACCTCTATTGCTATGAATTCCCCAGGTTGGAATGGTTTTTAAACAGAATTTCACTCACTGTTAAAGCCATTGCTCTTCTGTAGGGAAATGCTTCTACTCAGTGAGAAAACATGTAAATCATTAGCAGGATGTATTTGTATGTTTGTGAGGGTGGCAACTGGATGAAATCTAATTGCCACACCTCAAAAGGGACCTCAGGTAAAGAAAAATATACTTGGGAGCCATGTAATATTTTCCCTGGATTATATTTTGAACAATTGTAACAATGAGCTATAGCTCAAAAAGGTTTTAAAAAATATTATTTTCCCCAAGCAATCATGTCTTCAGGCTCCAGTGAGTTAGCTCATGTATATAACTGTAAGTCAGCAGGAAATGCAGGCAAATCATTTGACCCATACCATATCTCATTTTGAGAGGTGTATCCTCCCCCTTTTGCTTTCCAATTTTTCTGTTTTGATTTTAGAGTTCTAGATTAAGCTACTTCTTAAAATCAAAAGTAGATTTTTTAAGTTAATGTCAATTGTTTTCTTAATTAGATGCATTTAGAGCAATTCTTTTTGTTAACTTATCAGCTAGCTCATTTTTTTGTTTGTTTGTTTGTTTTCTGGGGTATCTGATTTTGAATGACCTGGAATTCTAATTGTGAATAGTAACTTTGGTAATATTATAGGTTCTAACAATTTTGAAATGAGGTGTCCTTTTTTTTTTTTTTTTTTTTTTTTTGAGATGGTGTCTTCCTCTGTCGCCCAGGCTAGGCAATCTCCCTCTGTCATCCAGTGGCACGATCTCGGCTCACTGCAACCTCTGCCTCCTGGGTTCAAGAGATTGTCCTGCCTCAGCCTCCTGAGTAGCTGGGACTACAGGCGTGTGCCACCGCGCCTGGCTAATTTTTGTGTTTTTAGTAGAAATGGTGTTTCACCACGTTGGCCAGGCTGGTCTCCAACTCCTGACCTCAGGTGATCCGCCTGCGTCGGCCTCCCAAAGTGCTGGGATTACAGGCATGAGCCACCACGCCCGGCCTGAGGTGTTCAATTTTTATGGGTTGACCAGAAGAGGCTAAAAATCTTGTCTGTTTCTGTGATATTAAAAAATCATGAACTACTTCAAAGGCATATCTACTGTCTGTAGAAATATTAGCAGTTTTGTTGTTGTTGTTGTTAATTGAGGAGCCCCAATCAATGTAATTAATTTCGTTTGTTGATTTAAAGTGACTTTTGGAACTTAAGCACTTTTTATTTCTTCAGTTAAGGATACTTTTTAAAGTAAAATCCATTTGTAAACCAAACAATATCAAGCATTAGCAAGGGGAATCTCTTGTAGGCCAGCCCTAGAAAAGAGCAGTTGAACAGTTAGAGTTATGCAATTATGCAGTTTCAGCTGACAATGGAAGTAGAAGAATGCAGGAATTAGGTTATTACAACCAGAGATGGTGATATGAGAATCTGAAAGAAGTAAAACTTTATATGAAGCTATTCTACTAACTGAATAACGTTGAATGGGGTGTGAGTTTAGCATTACTTCCACAAAATGAGAAATGAAAACACTAAAGTATATTCCCATTAAAGTTTCTTTAGCTGCCTTAACAAAGCAGTGGCTTTTACAGCTCTCATGCAAGTTAGCACTCCTCTTGTTACAAAGTCTGTTGGCTATAGCACCCTACAGGATTATTTTGTTCTCCGCATTTTTGAGTTAGGACCCTTAGAGCGTTACCAGCACTCTTACATACAAACAATAAAAAGGAAGGTTATAATTTGGATACGCCAAAACTGGAGCATTAGCAAGGTCATCTTTTATCTTTTTTTGTTATTTATTTTTTGTAGAGGTCTCACTATGTTGCCCAGACTGGTCTTGAACTCCCGGGCTCAAGAAACCCTCTTGCCTTGCCCTCCCAAAGTACTGTTATTACAAGCATGAGCCACTATGTTGATTTTCTTCTGTCCACTCCAGAGGGTCTGGAATGTCTTGCCTGAAGACAGCCTATAAGGGCTGGGTTTTTAAAGAAAAATTTGGGATCCAATCTCTAAATTATCCTGCCATCCCAAAAACTCTCTCACCCGTATCTTGGTTCGTGGTAGTGAAAACTTTAATATACCTTTCAGTCTGTCCATGTTAACAATAAGTCCTTCCTAAGATATTAGGTGGCCTAAGTGCTCTAATTTTTTTTTTTACAAAATCAAAGTTTTGCTTTAGAAATCTTGTGTCCTTTAAAGGTAATTGTTATAACAAGTAAATCTCATCTTCTATAGAGTTCTGCTCATCCTCTGAGCAGAGGAGAAAATTGTCTACAAACTATATTTAAAAGGATTTTTTAAAGAGGTCAACATCTGAGAGGTCTTTTTAAACATTTGTGAAAAGTAAGTTTGGCTCCCAGTGTGTCCCTAAGGCATGACTGTTCATGAGTACTGTCTGTCTTCCCAAGTGAAGACAAACAGAAATTGACTATTTTTATCTAAAGGAATACTAAGGAATTCACTACATAAGTCTATTCCATTCAATAACCACCTTCAGCTGCAAAGGCAGCCAACAACATGTGGGGGTTTGGCACTGCTGAATGTTAAGAATGACTGTGTTGTTAATTGCTTTCAGATTCTGTACAAACCTCCTTCTTTTACCATTTAGTTTCCTTACAGGAAGGACTGGAATGTTACATGGGCTTGTAGAGGGAATAATCAATCCTCTCTTTATATAAAAATCCTAAAATTCTAGTCTTTATTCCCTTTAGTGCTTTATTCCTCAAAGGATATTATTTGAGTTTGGAAGAAGTTTTGATGGACCTATTTGAACTTTGATATGGATAGCTGAGATGATTTCTCCAATATCAGTGGAAGACTTTGTTAACAATTAATCAGGAGCTGCCTTTAGCAGATTTTGTAATTTTTTATTACTCAATAATTTAGTGTCTTCTATGGCAATATGGATTGCAATTGGATTAGACTTTCAAAATTTGTTATGTCTAGTAATTCAGTTTTATTATTTAATTCTATATACATTTTCCCTTTTTGGGAGAAAGAAAGGTGAGCATTTTATAATTTTAAGAATCATCTTTTTATAAGGTGGATGGGAGCTGATAGAACCAGAAGGAAAACATGAGTCCCTTGTATGGGACCTTGTTGAAAAGCCACAGGCTGAGACTTGTATGTTGACAAAGGATTATTTGTGACATCTACCATTGGAATTCTTTGCTTACTCCAAGGAATGAAATCTTGTAATAAGTTGGGCTTTATTACAGATAAAGAGGCTCCAGTGTTAACAAGAGCTTGTGTTAGTAACAAGAGCTTGTGTTCGTTTTTTATTTAAAATAATAACTATTTTTTAAAGTCAAGCCAGGGTCATAGGCTTAAATATTTAATTTAAATTTCCTGGAAAAACCATAGGGTCCTGGTAAAAATCAGGAAATTTTAAAAGTATATCTCTAAGTTTTACCTTTCACCATGATTGATAAACTGGGGCAGGCTTTTCCCAGCCAGACACTGGCTGTTTGAGAAATGGAGCCAGGACAGGAGAAGGAGTTGGAGGAGGAGGAGGAGTTGGAGAAAGAGGAAGAAGAGGAGGAGAAAGAGAAGGTGATAGAGGAGGAAGAGGTGGTGAAGGAGGAGGAGAAGGAGGAGGTGGTGGTAGAGGAGGTGGAGGAAGAAGAGGTAGGTCTTGGTAAGGTAGTTTAAATAATATTGGACAAAAAGAAGGAGGACATGAGGAAGAAAGAGGATAAATTTTAGCAGTCTTTATACATTTAGAGACTGAAACAATTATTTGCTTTTTCTTATAAAGAAAAAACTTTATTAGAACCTCTTTTGGACACTTTTAAGTACCACTGAAAATAACTCTCTTGATTATTTTGCTTTATCTTGGAGCTGGCTTTTTAAAACTGAGCATGCAAGTAAATTAGTTTAGGCATTTTAAAGGTACTTACTTTGGCCATTATAATTTGGGTTTTTTATAAATTATATGAGACGATTTTTAAAAATAACAACATGAGGTGACACTATAAGTGTTATATATAAGCCCATCTGGTATTTTTATGGTGAACTCCCAAGGAGAAAGACTCAGTTTTGGATGAACAATTGTCCATAATATGGGTTTTCTTCTTAAGTGACCAAAGATTATATGGGAAATTGGTTAAGATATGTCCACTGAACTGAGCTTCAGAACTTGGCCAGTTTAAAACCACAAATATAGCTTATGCAACAAAGATTCTCTTTCTCTCTGTTTTTTCTTTGATCAAATTTGAGCCAGAAAAAAATGTTTCATAATTTAGCAAGTAAGACACACAGAACCTTAATCTCAAAGGAAAGTGAAACCTGTAAACAGCAGAATTTTTAGAGAAATAACAGATGAAATTCTTACCTTTAAAAGTAGAGCTTTAACTCAGGTTGCTTGAATAAAGTCTGAATCTCAGCCAAAGCCAGGGAGACTGAAAACCAAAGAGAAGGCTTCCAGAGATAACTGCCAGATCCAGTAAAGTCAGATAAGTGACAGCCACTCATGCCAGTTCCAAAGCTCTGAATGTCAGTGAAGCAGCAAGGATCTCGGGAGGCTCACTTTGGGTCCCTTTTTGGTCAAAAAATGTCAACCTTAAATAATCAAAAGGAATAATTTCTAATTTAAAGAGAGTTTATTTAAGCATAAAATGTAAGGGTGGCCATATGGGGAGCAGAGCTACACCAAAGAATGATGATCAGTACTCCTAATGTGGGGAAAAATGAGGATCATTTATATAGGCAAAAACAGAAGTGCTGAACAGAATTACAATAGTTTCCATACAAAGGCTGACATGCAGATAGAAGATGTGATTGTCTACTATTGATGACACTCTGGGGTCTCCATCTCCAGTGTCATTTAATTAAGGTTTGAATAAAGAATAAGGCATCTAGTTAACATATAATGTTACATCAAGATCAGGAGGGAAGTTCATGCACCGGAGCAGGAAAACAGCCATGTGATGTGGCTCAGTTTCTAGGGCTTCACTTTTCCTCTTGGCATAATAAATGTGGGAAGTCTTGAAGTTGTATTTTCTTTTTTAAAATTGTTCTATTTATTTTAGAATTGAGAAAACGCAGATATAAGGATATTGCTCAGCTCTCCAATATCACTCTGTCAGTAACTAGTGAAGTTTACATTTTAAAATGAGGCCTATCTGGATTCAAGTTTAGAGCATTGACAGAATGTCTACATGGCAAGTCTTCTTCAATATGTTGTCTTAATCCTCCTCTACCTTCATTTGTGTGAGCTATTTTATTGTCATTATTTCTTAAATAATGTTTCCTTGATTCAATTTGAAATATAAAACTATAATTTTGCTCTTATAACACCGAAAGATAGAAACTAAAAAATGTTGTCTAGGACTTCATATTGTCAATCTTGAAAAGGTATAATAATGATTATAATACGAATTTAAAGTGGACACATGTCAAATATTAACTCATTAATGTGGGAACCAATATTACGCTACAAGGGTTTAAAGAATCCAAAGAGTGGAAACATATATGGCCAGTCAGAAATTCTGGCCTACATTTTCCTAATAGATGCAAAACTGGTCAATATCCACAGAACACTAATCAGCCTTCTGCCCAAGGAAATCTGTATTCTTATGGACAAGAATCGTTTGTATTACTTTCAGTATTCAACAACTCATAGAGTTTTAAAGTAGCACGAAGACTAGGAAAGGACAAGAGATGCCATCGAATCACACACTCCACCAGTGCCCAGTTTTCTTTTGTAAACATTGAGTAATATTCAAGAAAGAAAGAAAAAAAGAAAGAAAGAAAGAAAGAAAGAAAGGGAAAGAGAAAAAGAAAGAAAGAAAGAGAAAGAAAGAAAGAAAGAAAGAAAGAAAGAAAGAAAGAAAGAAAGAAAGAAAGAAAGAAAGAAAGAAAGAAAGAAAGACTGTATCTGAGAAATGTAAGCTTCTTTAAACCATCGGGCCCAGAAAGGCATTTAAAAAGTAACAGTGGCCGGGCGCGGTGATGCACTGCTGTAATCCCAGCACTATGGAAGGCCGAGGTGGGTGGATCACCTGAGGTCAGGAGTTCACGACGAGCCTGACTAACATGGTGAGACCCCATCTCTACTAATTACAAAAAAAAAATTAGCTGGGTGTGGTGGTGGACGCCTGTAATCCTAGCTGCTTGGGAGGCTGAGACAGGAGAATCGCTTGTACCTGGGAGGCGGAAGATGCATGAGCCGAGATATTGCAGTGAGCCGAGATAGTGCCATTGCACTCCAGCCTGGGCAACAAGAGGGAAACTCCCTCTTAAAAAAAAAAGAAAAAAAAAGTAACAGCAGCCACATCTCACTCCCTCCTGAGTGAAATAATTGTCTCTTAAAGCCACTTGCTACGTGGACTCCAGACTAACTGACACCAGGTAGCCATCAAATGCCATACACCCTAGAGTTCAGCTATGTCTAGTCAATCACTAACCAATGCTATTTCTGTAAATCAATGAGAATTCTTGGCAAATAACTTTTGTAGCTGCCCCCTCTCCTGATTTGTTCTTTCTTCACAAACTTGAGTTTCTCTTTTGTTCTCAAGATCACTCCTCAAGGTAACTTGGAGGTGTGTCCCAAGCTGCAGTCTGCACCTTTGCACTAGAATGAATGCTCTTTAAACTAGATTCTGACATTTTTTATTATTTTAGGTTAACATAGTTTTGGTCCATTTCAAAGTCTTTCACATTTTTCTCTAACTTGTTTAATTTCACCTTAATTATAACATTAAAGTAAAAAAAAATAAAGGTAGAGATGCGCAGTGGTTAGCTAACTTGATCAAGATTGCCATGGCCAACACTGTTAAACGTGGAGGAATCACCACATATATCCATCTACTTTCCTACTAAAATCTCACTAAAATTACAATACAGAAACGGAAAAGCGCAATTACTCAAGAATGAAGAGAATGTCAGTGGAGAAAAGTTGGACCACTGGAAAGTTACTGACATCCTACAAATACCAGTGGGTAAGCCCACTACAGCCCAGCCTCCACCTGGAAATCGAGTGTTTAACATTTATAGAAATTTAATCATAAATGCTCTGGGCTTAGTAAAATCAGCAGCTGTTGGTAGAGGGAGATTAGCACAGGGATGAAAACAAAAGGATTCGGTGAAAGATGCCCTTGTGAACTCTGGGACTTCTTGCCTCTTCTCCTTCCTCAAGGAGATATGCCTCCAAATTCTGAGATTTGAGGATTTTTCTCTTGAAAAATTGACAGTTCCCAAAGAAATTATCTTAATGTACTCACATTGCAGACCTACCAAGTTATCGTCTAATAACCGAGAGGTGCCCCAGGTAGCTAGTCTTCTCCATACCTCACCCTTAGAGGAACTGAAATAAGATAAAACAGCCACAACAAAAGCAACAAAACAGAAACCTATAAAGTTGTCAAAGAGAAAATTACAGCAAATTTAGTTATGTGTCAAATTGGTTTTTGTTTGAGATTCAGGAATTGGGGCAGTCTCCATTCTACAAAATAGAATGGGAGCTCTAACCAGGAAATCGCAGAGCAGTGATTTCATGAGGTGAAAACACGGAAATAGAAGAACAGGGAAAAAAAAAAAGTAAATAAATAAAAAGGCTGGGAGCAGTGGCTCATGCCTGTAATCCCAGCACTTTGGGATCAGGTGGAACACCTGAGTTCGGGAGTTCGAGACCAGACTGGCCAATATGGTGAAACCCTGTCTCTACTAAAAATACAAAAACTTAGCCTAGAGTGGTGGCATGCGCCTATAGTCCCAGCTACTTGGGAGGCTGAGGAATGAGAATCATTTGAACCAAGGAGGCAGAGGTTGCAGTGAGCCGAGATCATGCCACTGCACCCCAGCCTGAGCAAAAGAGCGAGACTCTATCTGAAAAAAAACCAAAAAACAAAGAAACACCTGATTGATTAACATCGGCTTATTTCGGGTTATTTTTTTGGAAAGGTTTAAACAGAGGAGACTTCCTTAATATGCTGAGTCAGGTAGACTGGAATCTTGTTTTTAGGAAAAACTGGTCTGTTTTGGGATCTCTCTGCCTTCTAAAAATTTCAGTTTGATTGTACAGTGTTCAGTTTGATTGTATAGTGATTGTATAGTGAGTCACTCCATTAGGTTTGGTCTGGTCTGTTGGGCCTAGTGCAGGAGATCTTTCCAAAAACAATATGGTCTCCCATAATTTTGTTTAACACAGTATATAGGAGTTAATAAATAATAGAAACAACCTGTGTAGATAAAATAAAAAATAAAACTTCTCTGCCCTCTCTGGACAATTTCACTTATTACTAATTTAATGCCTGATATTTCAAAATGGTTTAAATCACTGAATTTTTGACAAAGGGGAAGCAAGCGAAAGATCCAGGTAATGCTTTGGAAAGGGCTCTTTGCTGCTTTGGTACAATATAACAGGAATAAAATTGCCTCACTAGAAAATACCTTTGGCTACAAACTTGAGGAAAGGATAAGGGCAGGAAATACATTGAGAAATAATAATGTTTTAAGATGTTTTATTAGTTGTGCTTTCATCGCTTTTTGAACCTCAGATATCAAAGAACTACTTAAGTGATTATATCACAAATCACCAATCAGAAGCAGCAAAATAGGGACGTGGAATATTAGAATAGGAAAGAACCTTAAGCATTATTCAGAATAACTGCTTCATTTTACAGGAGAGCAAACCAAAGTCCATCGAGGCTAAGAATGTCCCATGAAGCCACAAAGTATGCTCAAATTTCCCCAGGTAATTAAAATTAAAGTAAGTTGTCTGAGTCTTGAGTATATCTTATCAGTATTTCACAAGTAAAAAAATATAAATCTATCTTTATTCATTACAGATTAAGAAACCAAGTGTCAGATCTAGTAAAGGACTTATTTAGAACCACATATAAGTTAACATCTTGATTTCCAGCCCAGGTCAATTCCCATTACACAATGCTAGTATGTCTTAACTGATTAAGAATAAAATGTTAAAGATTTTATTTTTTAATCAAAAATAAACTTGGTTATAATCTCTACTGGTCGTGGTCACAATCAGAGTACTGAAAGGTAAACAATTCCAAAAATGTTAGATATTTCTTAGAAGTCACTTTCAGCATCCTATCATAGGATTGGTTTGAATTTCCTCAGTATTACCACATAGTAAAATACATTTTTCTCTACAATAGCATCCATTCAGGATTTTCTTTGTTTATGAAGATACAAATTAATGTATACATTTTATAATTTTCCTTGTGAAATGATATAGCAGTATATTTGTGTCCATTTTATATTTGTAAAGACCAAAATTTTAGATATCTATAATTCCCTTTTAATTCTTATGACCAGTTGGTTATTTTATTATATTTATTATATTTATCACCCATCAAAGTCATTGAAAGCCCTTATTCTGGGTTGTTTTCATATTTTCTTATATTTTACAGATCAACCTGATTTTTTTAACCAAGAACTTTTATCTTTATAATCTTTATAAGTATTTGAATAGTTTTATATACTTCAATATATCTTATTGCATGAGAGTACAGCAGCCTCAACACTTATTAGAATATACTGAAATATATATTAATATTTATAATATTTATATATTATACAATATTTAAAATATTTAATGCAGACTAATATATAATATTTAAATGGAATATTTTAAATACTTAATGTATATTTAAGTATAGTCTGATAAGTGTTGGGGCTACTATAAACATTAAGGTAAATATATTGTACAAATTTATATCATATTAAATATATTTCATATATATCAAAATATTATATATAACATAAATATTATGTTATATATATTTAAGTATATTCTGATAAATGTTGTTGCTACTCTGCCATCATATTTGAGAGTCTCATATAATCTAACCTTTGTGTTTTGTCAAATTAATAATAATTGTCTAAGATCTTATGCTTATTTTGTCGGGGATTGTGATAAATATATAAAGAAATATGAGAGTTGAAACATTAAAATATCTTTTTTTCATTAGGTCAAATATTATGTCTCTGCATGTAATTGCCTCCTTTAATATTCCTAAAAACTATCATTTCATATATTTAAATACATTTGTGAGCAAAGTTAACTATTCAGTATTTCATTTTTTATTATTAAAAAGAAATTGTTTTTTGGTTGAAATTTATACCCAGTCATGGGAGGATTAAGGGAATGCCATGAATGCATACTTCAATATTTTATAATTATATATATCATATATGACATGTGCAGAATTATATGCATATAAATATTTAATTATCACTGCCTTTAGGGAGAAAGTCCAGTGATTAATCAAAACCTTACACTTAGGAGACAAAAATAGAAACAAAAACAGATGGATTCGACTTTAACTTTGTTTATTGCTATCGAATTTCCCATTACAGCACCATGCTTATTAGTAGAAAATATAAACATTGGAAGTGTATTACATTTCTTCAGCTCAACATCTTCAGTAAAAGGAAGATAATGCCACCCAGCATGCAGAATTAATGGCTGGCTTTTCTTCATTTAACTTTCTATATTGAGATTCATTCATAGTGTTTTATACACACATTTTTATTCATTTTTATTGTGATGTAATATTTTGTTTTATGGATGTACAAGAATGTATTTATCCCTTCTGATGCTGGGGGACTACTTGATGATTTTTAGTTTGAAGCTATTTTGATGATGCCGCAGTGAACGTGTTTATATGTTCCAACTCTGCAAATATACACATTTTACTCAAGAGTAGTATTGCTGAATCTTAGGTTAGGCATATGTTCAGCTTTATTATACACATACTGCCAAGCAATGTTCTAAAAAGGTTTAACAGTTTTATTACACAAATAATGTTATTCCACATCCTTATCAATACTACAACCCGCATAAAATTATTTTTTTATGGTGTGATAAGAGTCAAAGTTAATTGTGTTTATTTTTTTCATATAGATACCCAACTGACACGGCATCATTTTATGAAAACAGTAGTTTTCCCTTTCTGTAGTGCATGATTTTCATAAATCACGTGTCTAAATGTGTTTGGAACTGATGTTGAACTCTCCGTTATATTCTATTGGTCTGTTTGCCTGTTAACATTGTATTAGCATACCTTTGTAGTGACTATTGTTTTTTGTTAGCGTAAGTTCTCAAAATTTACTTTTCAAAATTATATTGGCTATTTTATGTATTCATATTTATAATTAAATTATCAAATGCCTCTCATTTTCTGATGCCATTTTAATTGCAATTGAACTAACCCTACATACAGCTCAATTAGAAAGAATCAGCAAATTTGTAATATAGATTCCATTAACATTGTCAATTAATCTGATTATTTAAATCTTAATTTCTCGAAATTACATTTTATGGTTTTTCCAATACATGCCTGTGGGAAGCAGAATTTAATGACTTTTTTCCTTGTATGATTTCCATCGCTTGAATGTGGGAAGAATCTGTATGTATGACAAAATATCACTTCCGTGGTCATGTCATATTGCATGACAAAAGGAATTTTGTAGACACAATTAAGATTCCAAATCAGCTGGTATTAACATAAGGAGATCATCAACTGAGACTGACCTAATGACATCAGATCTTTAAATCTGGATCTAGCAGTCAGAGAAGGAGAGGGTCAAAGATTCAAAGCATGAGAAAGATTAAACATATCATTGCTGGCTTCAAGTTTGAGCAGTGCTGTGTGGCAAGATAAATACATGGCCTAGGAGCTGAAAATAGCCTTTGGCCATTTTCCAGCAATGAAATGGGAATCTCAATCCTGCAACCACAATGAACTGAATTTTGCCAACAAGAATGAACATCGAAGTGGATGCTTCCCCAGTGCTTCCAGACAAAAATCCCACCTGACTGACATCTTGATTTTGGCCTTCTTAGGACCATCAGTAAAGAAACTAGCTGTATGTACCAGCTTTCCATAGAACTGTAAACAAATACTTTTGTATTGTTTTCAGTTAATAAGTTTGTGGTAATTTGTATGCAACCATAGAAAACGAACACAGGGCTTTTGAACATTTTATTGAGATTTATTGCTAGCTATTTTACGTTGTTGATGATATGGTAAATGGTATCATGTTTTTAAAACTTTGTTTTGGGGTGTTCATTCCTGGAATCTAGAAATATAATGAGTTTTATGTAACTCTTCTATCTGTGACATTGTTAAAGTTAAATTTGCTTACGTATACTTACATGGATCATCTGTTCGTTTTTTAATTTTCTACCTACACAATAATGTCATTCATGAATAAGAACAAATTTGTCTCAAATTTGTATACTTTGTTGCATTATTGTCCTAAGCATGAACTAAAAATTGTTAATAGTGGGTCCTTGTCTCATGTTTTTATCTCAGGAAGTCAGTTTCAATATTTCAACATTAGTTTGAGGTTTACTGTAGGTTTTATGTTGAAATCTTCTATTGGAAGGACATTCTCTTCTATGTGTATTTTGGTAAGGATTTTTTCCTCAATTATAACTGAATGCTCAAATGTTCAAGTACCTTTTTCTACATTTATCTGAATGATCACACAAGTATCATTTTACTTTTAATGTGGTGCACTACATTGGCTGATTGTTGAAATGGTAAAGAAATCTTTAATTTCTGGGAAAAGAAAACCCACCTTGTTTTTGATATTGTATTGTGGATTCCCAAGACCAGGCTGAGGCTCAATGATTCGCTAAGAGGATCCTAGGATTCAGCATATAGTCATATTCAGGATCATGATTTATTAAAGTGAAAGGTTGCAATGCAAAATTAACAAAGGGTAAAGGTAAATGGGAAAAATTCTGGAGGAAAATAAGTGACAGGCTCCAAGAGTTTCAGTCCGAATATTTTCTACTAAGCTATCTTCCAGTTCATTA
The DNA here is from genome assembly GCF_000001405.40 of Homo sapiens. Classification (NCBI taxonomy): domain Eukaryota; kingdom Metazoa; phylum Chordata; class Mammalia; order Primates; family Hominidae; genus Homo; species Homo sapiens. Next base: position 239,195,055 of record NC_000001.11, read on the forward strand.
ATCTTCTTTTCAACTATGTGTAGTCTTCTAGTTAACTTTATTGTATTGCTAGTTTTAGTTATCACATTTCTCAGTTCCATAATTTCAATTTGATTTTCATAGATTGTATTCATTGCTAAAATTGTTCATGTTGTCATCTATTTTCTTGAAAATGTAATTACAGTTATTTTTAAATCCATATCCAAAAATTCCATAACCTGAATCTCACAATTTTTCTCTTGATTTTTGGTCCTTAGGGTCTTGTCTTCTCATGTGACTGGTAATTAGTCATTCAATGCTCAATATTTTGCAGAAACTAGTGTAGTGAAAATTTTAAATTCTCTGTGAGATTGAGGGCTATTTCATTTTCGACTTTGCGCTTAATCTTAAGATAAAGCACTTAGGTGGGTTGATTCTTAGATGAAAATTCTGGATTGGATATCAAAAAGTAGGTTTTTATTTCCATAATTTTTGTCTTCGTATTCCCACTGGACTTTAGAAATCTCGATTTAGTTTCTCAACCTCTTATTTGTCATTCTTTTTTGGCTTCTTGGAATTTTGGTAGCCACTTACAAGCTTGAAAAACGTCTTAATGGAAAAAGCATTGCTGGATGTCAGGAACACCACTCTAGGATTTACAGTTCTTTAGGATCTTGTACCCTTCAGTCCTCAAAGCATTGGTAGCCCTCTGATGCCTTTGGACAATTTTTGTATTTTACCCAGGTTTTAGAGTTGTTCTCAAAAGGGGAGCTTTTCTAATGTAAGCTAATTCCCATATCCAAAATTACAATTATCCACTATAAACTGTCCCATTTCTTTCCAGAAACTCTTCCTACCCTTGAGTAGTGGGTGTTTCCTATAATTCTCTCCCTGAGTTTTCTTGGCACAGTCTACATGATTTCCATGAGAGATTGTATTTGTCCCCAGAAATTTGATGAACCTCTATGCTTATAACTTTTCAATATCTGATTCAACTCCAAGCTTTTCTTGAATGCCAAACCTGTAGATTCTATTGCTTAGTGGAAAGTCTCCACTTGGCATACCAACCATGCCTCAAACATTACATATTTAGTTTTAGTATCATACTTTTGTCCTCTAAAATTACCCCTTCATCTAGAGATTTTATTTTTATGAGTGATACTAGAAGCCATCTAGTAACTAAAGCCTAAAACGTGCCCTAATTTATGTAGCCTCTTACATATAACTAATAACTGGTCACATATGTTCATCCTGTTGATAATATGCATACATGTCACCACTTCCTACTCCTGCTGATACCACCCTTATTTACACCCTTTTTATCTCATATCAGAATTATTTTGGTGATTTCTAAATGGTATGGTATCGTCACTTTTAGCCAGAAATGTGCAACAGAAATTACTTACAAAGCTTTTCTAAAAATGCAAGTGTCAGGTTTGACTTCAGACCAACTAAATCAGAATCTCCAAGAAAATAGTTGAGGTACATACAGTCTGAATTGCATCTGGTAATTTTACCAATATATTCTGTATATTGCTGCCAGGGTAATCTTTCTCAAGATTAAATGTGATCATGCCTTTGACCTACTGAAATTTCTTCAGATATCTCTATTACCCATGAAGAAAACAATCAGATGCTTTTGCATGTCCCCTGTGTTCTTCACAATGTTCTATTTTACTTCAGTTTTGTTTTTTTTGTTTTGGGATTTTGTTTGTTCGTTTCTTTAGCGCAATCAGAGCCTATACCCTAACTAGGACAACGATCATGTTTCTTTGCCTAGTCTTAGTGTCTCATAAACTCTATTCTCTGGCCATAACTGTTACTCATGTTTACGAGATTTAATTCAACTACAAAATCTTTTCTGAAGTTAGTCAATTTTTTCTCTAAAGGTCAACGTAGTAAATATTTTAGTAATGATTTTTGCAAACTTGGTCACTGTCACAGTTACTCAACTCTGACATTGTTGCATGGACAGATACATAGATAATACATGTTTGAATGGCTATGGCACTGTTCAAATAAAACTTTATTATAAAAACAGACAGCAGGAAACATTTTGCTCAAGGGTCATAGTTTGATGATGCCTGCTGTAGATAGATTTTTCCTCACTATACTTTGCACCTATCCAGTACTGCACTAGCATCTTTCAAGGCATAATTTGTACTTTATTTTTATTTTATTTATATGTTGACCATTTATTAGACTGTGGACTTTTGGATAGCAAGAAAATTTTCTTTTTTATCTATGGATATGCCTAATACACAACATGATAGTGGATGAATAAATAGTGCAACTTTCATTCAAAAGAAAAAGCCCAATACTTGCATTTTGAGCAGAAATTCTAGAGGTTAATAAAAACATAATTATCTTAAAGTTTTATGGAATGCAATTATATAAACAGAACTTATTTTAAAGTAGTATTCATAAAGTAATAAGGTAGAGATGAAGAAAAGCACATATGAATACCAAGAGACTTTGCAAACATAGAAATAAAAAACAAATATGTGTTCACAGAATCAGCATTATTTCTTTATTCCAAAAATTAAGACTCTCTATTATACAGCCCATGAAGATATTAAGCAGAGGCCAATGAACTTTTAGCCATGAGATCAAGGACTGTTTTCTTTACATACTGTTTAATTATAGTACATAGTGGAATGCCTGGAAAAACACAAGTTTGATGTACTTAGAAAGAAAGAAAGAAAGAAAGAAAGAAAGAAAGAAAGAAAGAAAGAAAGAGAAAGAAAGAGAAAAAGAAAGAAAGAAAAAATATTTTCTTTTCTTTATCTAATCTACCATTGATGGACACATGGGTTGATTTCATGTCTTTGCCTTTGTGAGTTACACAGCAATGAATGTATAAGTGCATGTTCCTTTTGGTAAAATGATATTTTTGTTGTTGTTGTTGTGGGGGGTTTATATCCAGTAATGGGATTGCTGGCTGGAATGGTAGTTCTGTTTTTAAGTCCTTTGTGAAATCGCCAAACTGCTTTCCACACTGGCTTGACTAATTTACATTCCCACCAACAGCACATGATCATTCATTCCCTTTTCTTTGCAGCCTCGCCAGCCTCTGTTGTTTTTTGACTTTTTGATAATAGTCATTCTGACTGGTGTGAGATGCTATCTCATTGTGGTTTTGATTTGCATTTCTCTGATGATTAGTAATGCTGAGCATTTTTTCATATGCTTGTTGGCCACTTGTACGTCTTCTTTTAAGAAGTGTCACTTCATGTCGTTTGCCCATTTTTAATGGAATTATTTGTGTTTTGCTTGTTGATTTATGTTACACCATGGAATGCTATGCAGCCATAAAAAAGACTAAAATCATGTCCTTTGCAGCAAGATGGATGGATCTGGAGACCATAATCCTCAACAAATTAATGCAGGAATAGAAAACCAAATACCGCATGTTCTCACTTATAAGTGGGAGCTAAGCATTGAGCACACATAGACATAAATATGAAAACAATAGACTGTGCACTACTAGAGGGTGAAAGGAGGGGTTGGGTTAAAAATCTACCTATCAAGTATTATGCTTACTACCAGAGTGACAGGCTCCATTCTCCAAAGCTCAGCGGAATGCAATATTCCCATGCAACAAATCTGCATATATACCCCTTGTATCTAAAATAAAAGTTGAAATTTAAACTCATATATATGCATATATATATATACAGTTATGTATATGTATATATATAGTTTAATATATATACACACACACATATATACAGACACACATATATATAGTTCAATATATATACATACACACACACATATATATGTGTGTGTATATATATATATTTATCTTTTCTGGCTAGACTACATCAGTTTTGTAGATATTCAGCCTTTTACAAAAATGTGTAAACTTCTATCTTAAAGCACTGGAGAACTTTATTTTACAAGCTCCATGTCCCCTTCAAAGAAGATTTGGAGACATTCTTTTAGTTTCTCATTTTCCCAGTATGCTTCAATAGTTCCTCATGAAGTTAACAACAGGATCCCCCAATTCATTAAGAGAACACACCAGCTTCACTTTAGAAAATTCCTATTCTACATTACCAGCTCACCAATTCAGATCCTACCCTTTGGATATATTTCTTGCTCTTTATGATAACCACTTGTTTTATGAGACTTTGATTGTTATCTTTTAGAGGAATTTTAGATATTTCCCCTTTCTCCCTCTCCCCCCACCCCCAGGACTACAGCTCTATTAAGATTCATGTTTGTTTATCCCACACATATATATTGGATGTATTTTGCCTAGTTACAGTTACAAGTACAGGCAAATTGGGAGCAAAATGAACATAGTCTCTACTCTCATGGAGCCCATTTACTAGAGAGGAGAAGTTGGATGCATTAATTTATTTATTCAAATCTCTATTCACACGGGAACACTTGGACTGAGCAAATGCTGTGGTGGGGCAGAGGCTGCACGTGTTCCCTGGCTAAACGATGCTTACATCCCTGTTTGGCAGTCAGATATCACGAGGAAAAATTGTAACCCAATTTAGCAGAAGCAATATACAGATATTTTGAGTGATGTGGGTTCATAATGAAAGGGCATTTAAGTAGAAATGACGATAATGTTAAGGATTGTCAAAGTACAATGTGGCTTGAGACTTAAAGAATGATTGATTAGGTGCCATCAGGGTGAGTGAGAGAAAAGTCTTGGTAGGAAACATTTTCTTCTAAACTAACACATGGGGCTGAAGAAACAGTACTAGCAGAAGGTGAAGCTAGAGATGTGTATTAAACTAAACAACCAGGACGTTAACTGAGTGCTTTGTAAAAAATGTTCCTCATACTAGGTAAATTGTTAAGAAACAAATGCTCCTGTGTCACAGAAATACCTAATAGTGGCTGGGCATGGTGGCTCTAAGGGAGGAGACCACCCCTCATATTGTCTTATGTCCAATTTCTGCCTCCAAAGTAAGAAGAAGTAAAAACTAAAAGGCAGAAATGGAATCCACAAGCAGACAGCCTGGTGCCACACCCTGGGCCTGGTAGTTAAAGATCAACCCCTGACCTAACTGGTTATTTGCATAAAAAAGCACTGTGAAGATCCCTGTCCTATTCTGCTCTGTTCTAATTACAGGCGTATGCAACCCCCAGTCACTTACCCACTGCTTGCTCAATCGAACACGACCCTCTCATGTGGACCCCCTTAGAGTTGTGAGCCCTTAAAATGGACAGGATTGCTCACTCCAGGAGCTCGGCTCTTGAGACAGGAGTCTTGCCGATGCTCCCAGCCAAATAAACCCCTTCCTTCTTTAACTTGGTGTTTGAGGGGTTTCGTCTGTGGCTCTTCCCGCTACAGCTCATGCCCATAATCCCAGCACTTTGGGAGGCCGAGGTGGGAGGATCACCTGAGGTCAGGAGTTGGAGACCAGCCTGGCCAACATAGCGAAACCCTGTCTCTACTAAAAATACGAAAATTAGCCAGGTGTGGTGACATGTGCCTGTAATCCCAGCTACTCGAGAGGCTGAGGCATGAGAAATGCTTGAAACCGGGAGGTGGAGTTTACAGTGAGCTGAGATTGTGCCACTACAATCCAGCCTGGGTGATAGAGTGAGACCCTGTCTCAAAAAAGAAAAGAAAAAATTAAAGAAATACCTAATAGCTTCTAAAAACTTGTGATTATCCTTTAAGTATGAAAAAGTTATTGCTGAAAACAACTTCCTAGCCAGGGACTAAATTTCTCATCCTCCCTTGCATGCAAGTAGTTCTATGTGACTAGTCCTCACTCACAATTATTAGTTGAAGTGATGTGGATGACTTCTAGGCTAAGAGAGTTAGGACGTGAGTGTGCATTCCTCACCTCTTAATCCCCACCTGCAGATGCGGAGTACTTGTGAGCCCTGGAGATGAGAAATTATAGGATGGGAGGCGCTTATATTCCTGAGTGACCACATAGAGGAGAGCTGCATTGACAACCATGGTTGTTGCTGTTGCTAGGTGGTATCTTAACAATTATGTTATTTGGTAATCTACATAATACTGTATACAAGCTAACAAAAGATGTATAGTTAGCTGCCTAATAAATAAATAGAAATATGTCAATTTGGCTCTGCATTCATATCATTGCATTTTCCTTATCAGGAATTTATTTTTTATATAAAACTATGCTCTAAAACTAGAGTTCTTAATTATAGTAAAAACATTTTTATCTTTTCCCTCCACTTTTTCTATGTACTGCAATGACCAGTACTGCTTCCCTAAATGAAGTAATCCGTCTCTTGGGGATCTGTGACTTTTACTAACTATCTCTTACTCAAAAAAATGTAACATTCTTACACAAGTGACTTGGATTATGGCATAAATTGAAAATATTGCTTTTTTTTTCTTTCAAGAAAATAATTTGTCTTTCTTAATGATTGTCAGAATTTTGTAGATCCATGTGAATGTGAGCACCATACGTGTTAGGTCAAGAGGGGTTGCTTTGTACATCTCCAAATCATCATTCCTTATGGCCTAATGAAGGAAATCTTGGAAATGGGGATGAAAAAGCAATGTTCAGACAAGGAAGCCCAAGTAGCTAATAAATATGAAGAGCCTCAATCTCACCTGTTGTCAGTTTTTGAACAAACTAAAGCAGAAATGCAATGAATGCTACAAATAACAAATAGGCATAAGTGTTGAAAGCCTCATCATACCAAAGGTTGACACTTGTGTAAGAATATGGAAATTCTTTGATAATTCTGATGGAAGTATACATTAGTTCAACCACTTTGGAAAGGAATTTTCTCTCTCTTTTTTTTTTTTTTTTTTTTTTGTTTTGAGATGGAGTCTCGCTTCGTCGCCAAGGCTGGAGTGTAGCGGCGCAATCTCAGCTCACTGCAACCTCTGCCTCCCAGGTTCAAGCCATTCTCCTGCCTCAGCCTCCTGAGTAGCTGGGACTACTGGCACCCGCCACCACGCCTAGCTGATTTTTGTATTTTGTTTTTTAGTAGAGACGGAGTTTCACCGTGTTAGCCAGGATGGTCTTGATCTCCTAACCTTGTGATCCACCCGCCTTGGCCTCCCAAAGTGCTGGGATTACAGATGTGAGCCACCGCACCCAGCCTGGAGAGCAATTTTCTAATATCAGGTCAAAATAATAAAGATGTGAACATCCTAAGTTGCAGAAGTTCCACTTCTAAATATCTACACTATAGAAACACACACATAAATGGAGAGAAGCAGGTAAAATAATGTGCACCAGGATGCTGTTGGAAAGGAAGAAAAGAAGGAGGGAAGGAAGGAAGGAAAGAAGGAAGGAAGGAAGGGAGGGAGGGAGGGAGGGAGGGAAAAAGATAACATAAAATTTAATCAATAAGGAATTGGGTAATTTAATTATAATGTATTTACAAAGGGACTGCTAAGCAGCAATATATAGTAAATTAACATATATATTCTCTTCTGTAAAGTAACATATATATTCTCTTACGTAAAACAGCAAAAATACTATATATTTATTATGAATACCTACATATGTAGTAAAGGTATGAAAACACAAATGGAATAAATAATAAGCAAATTTAGCTTGTGGATTATATATCTAGGAAGGAATAAAGGTGAATATAATTGTGCAGTTGGCTTCTCTTTCATCTGTATAATGGTTAATCTTAAGTGTCAACTTGGTTGAGTTCAAGGGCTACACCATCATTATAAAGGAACACCCATTACTTCTCAGTACATTTGTGAGGGTGTTTCAAGAAATTCACATTTGAATCAGTAGACAGAGTCAAGAAGATCCCCCCTTGCCAGTTTGGGCAGGCATCATCCAATCTGTCAAGGGCCCAGATAAAATGAAAAGGTGGAATAAGGGCAGCTCTCTCTCTCATCTGCGGCCAGGACATCCATCTTTTCCTGCTGTCAAACACTGGAGCTCCTGGTTCCCTGGCCTTCTAATCTGGGGACTTACAGCATCCTGAAGCCACATCCAAGTTCTCAGGCTTTCTTCCTTGGACTGAGGTTTGCACCATTGGATTTCCTAGTTCTCAGGGAGGCAGATTCAAACTGAATTACTCCAGTGGCTTCCCCAGTACTTCGGCTGTTGACGGCCTAATGAGACTTCTTGACCTTCATGATCATCTGAGCCAATTCCCATAACAAATCCTCTCATATATCTGTATCAATATCAATCTGGTTGTGTATCCATATCCTATTGGCTCTGTATTTTTAAAGAACCATGATTAATACAATCCATTTTTAAAAATTTCTTCTTTTTTTTCTTTTTTTTAATTTTGAGACAGAGTTTTGCTCTTGTTGCCCAGGCTGGAGTGCAATGGCTCGATCTCGGCTCACCGCAACCTCTGCCTCCTGGATTCAAGCGATACTCCTGCCTCAGCCTCTTGAGTAGCTGGGATTACAGGCGTGTGCCACCACGCCCAGCTAATTTTGTATTTTTAGTAGAGACAGGGCTTCTGTGTGTTGGTCAGGCTGATCTCGAACTCCCGACCTCAGGTGATCCACCAACCTCAGTTTCCCAAAGTGCTAGGATTACTGGCGTGAGCCACTGTGCCCAGCAAAAAAAAACTCCTTTAAAAAATAGTACATATTTCTGAGGTGCATTGGTAAAACATTAACATGTTTAAAATCTCAATGTGAAGTATATGGAGACATTATACAATTTTCTGTTTCTTTGTGTTTGCCTGTGTCACTTAGTAATACAGCTCTATATTTTAAAGATTCATGGCAGGGCGCATTCTGTAAGACAGGTCTTCATTTTTAATCTCAATCACTGTTTAAACTTCTTTGAGGCTTCCTTCCAGCTGATACCCAAATCAACAATGGTACCCATTCAGAAACCACTTGAATAATAAGGACCCATAAGCTCCACAAGATCTTCAAGGTCAAGAATTGTGTCCTCATTATCTCTATGTATGTAGTACCTAACTTAATGTAGCAGCTCAGTGAACAATTTGTCCAAGTGAACTCAGCTGTGGCTGGCAAACTCATCCCAGGTATAGACAGTGATGAAGAGCTGGTTAGGTCTATCTTATTTCCATTTTTTTTTTTAACAGTTTCACAACATCCAGTGTTATTATCTACCTCTGGTAAGTGGCAACCATGGAATTGTGAGCAACTAAAAGGCACGTATGTTCAAATTATCTATCCACTTCCTGACATGATAAACTACATAGACATATGCCTTACTAATGACAAAATATACATCACCCGGTGGTTCTTTTGCTTAATGACAAACTCCTTACTGAGAGTTCATTAAGTCTTCTATCTGGGACTAGCTAGAAGACAGCTCTCACACTGGGATGGGGCCTGGCTGACTTTGCTTTGCTTTGCCCTCTGGTTGGGTTCCGTGCTTGTCTTGGCAGGTCATTGCCTATTCATGTAGAAATTTCTGTAAAGATGAACTGGCTGCAGAGATGCTGCAGGCTTTTAGGGCTTCAAATTACAAGGCTTTCTGCTTAAAATGCTGTTACTTCTATTCTTCTGCCCCCTCTCTAACTCCTGTCCCACACAACCCACCTCACAAGTTATACAGACTACTTAGAATCCCCTGACACGCTGTATTGTTTCTTGACTCTGTGCCTTGGCACAGGCTGTTTCCTATGCCAGGAATGTCATTCTCTGTTCCTTGTCTATCTGGCAAGCATCTACGTCCACCTGGCAAGGCCCTACTCAGACATCACTCCTTGTCTCATAACATCCCTGAATTTTGCAATCCAGATTTATAAGGACCTAAAACAAGAAAGGACAAAATCCAGTCACCAAGTTCTGAAATTTAATATTTTCCACAATATGCCCAACATGTTCACTATCATCCATTTGTTCACTTAAAATGTATTGAGGCCGGGAACAGTATCTCACACCTGTAATCCCAGCACTTTGGGAGGCCAAGGCAGGCGGATGACTTGAGGTCAGGAGTTCACGACTAGCCTAGCCAATATGGCAAAACTCTGTCTCTACTGAAAATACAAAAATTAGCCAGGCATGGTGGCACAGGCCTATAGTCCCAGCTACTCGGGAGGCTGAGGTGGAAGAATCGCTTGTACCTAGGAAGCAGAGGGTGCAGTGAGCCAAGATTGCACCACTGCACTCCAGCCTGGATGACAGAGTGAGATTCTGTCTCAATAAATAAATAAATTGTATTGAATGTTTACTAAATTTAAGAAATATACAAGGTGCTATGGTTTGGATATTTGCCTCCCCAAACCTCATGTTGAAAATTGATCCCAATGTTGGAGGTGGAGCCTAACGGGAGGTGATTGGGTCACGGAGGTGGATCCGTCATGAAAAGATCAATGCCCTACCTTGGGAGGGGGATGATTGCATTCTCCTCTTCAAGAGCTGGTTATTAAAAAGAGCCTGACTTCTCCCTGCCCTCTCTTGCTGCCTCTCTCTATATATGATTTCTGCACAGGCCAGCCCCCCTTCACTTTTTGTTGTGAAAGGAAGAAGCCTGAGACCCTCCCTAGAAACTGGGCAGCTGCTGGTGCCATGCTTCTGTACAGCCTGCACAATTGTGATCCAAATACACTTCTTTTCTTTATAAACTACCCAGCCTCAGATATTCCTTTATTCAAACAAACTGGACTGACAGAAAATTGGTACAGTGAAGTAGAATGCTGCTAAAATGATAACTAAGTATGTGGAAGCAGCTTTGGAACTAAGTAATGGCAACAGGTTGGAAGAGTTTGGAGGGCTCAGAAAAAGATAAAAGGATGAAAGAAAGTTTGGGCCTTCTTCAAGATTGGTTAAGTGATTGTGAACAAAATGTTTATAGAAATATAGACAATAAAGGCCCTGCTGTCAGGTCTCAGCTGGAAATGAGGAAATTATTGGGAACCTGAGCAAAGGTCACCCTTGTTACACCTTAGAAAAGAATTGGCTGCATTGTGTCCATGCCCTAGGGCTTTGAGAAAGGTCAAAATTAAGAGTGATAATCTAGAGGTAAAAATTTCCAAGCAGAAAGCATTCAAGAAGTGGCATGGCTACTTGTAATTGCTTACTCTGAATCATCTGAATTAATGGAGCAAAGGAATGGCCTAAAGATGGAATTGATAACTAAAAGGGAAGCAGTGCATTCAAATTTCAAAAATTTGCAACCTGATCATGAGATAGAATAGGAAAGAGCATTTTTAGAAGAATAATTCAAAGGTAAAGCTGAGAGACCCTTTGTTAAAGACATTAGCACAGGTAAAAGGGAGCCAGGTACTAATAAACAGGACGGTGAGGAAATGGCCCCAAAGGCATTTTAGAAATCTTTGAAGCAGTCCCTCCTATTATAGCCCCAGAGGCCTAGGACAACAGAATGACAGAATGGTTTCAGGGGAGGGGGTGGGGGGACTGCTGCCCTGCAAGGTCTCAACTCTATCTATGACTGAAACAGCCCCAGATACTGCTCAGACCTTGACCATAGAGAGTGCAAACCATAAGCTTTGGTAATGTCCACATAGTATTAAGCCTGCAAGCACAAAGAATGCAAGAATGGTGAAGCTTGGTAGCTTCCAACTGGATTTCAGATGATATATTGGAAAGCCTGGGAGCACAGACAGAAAACTGCCACAGAGGCAGAGCCACCACAGAGAGTCCCCACTGGGACAATACCTAATGGAGAGGTGAGAGCAAGACTGCCACGAAGACTCTAGAATTATAGAGCCACTGGCAGCATGCAACCTTCTCCTGGAAAGGCTACAGGCATTCAACTGCAACCCACAAGGGCAGCCACATGGGCTGTACCTAGCAAAACCATGAGTACAGAGCTGTCCAAAGCCTCAGGAGCTCACCCTCACAGCAGTGTGCCCAGGACATAGGACATGGAGGCAAGGAGATTATTTTGGAGCTTTAAGATTTAATGTCTATGCTGCTGGGTTTTAGACTCATGTGGGGCCTATTACCCCTTTCTTTTGACCTATGTTTCTTTTGACCTATGTTTCTTTTGAATGTTTACGCAATGCCGGTATCACCATTGTATCCTGGAAGTAAATAACTTATTATTATTATTATTATTTTACAGTCTTGCAGCTGAAAGGAATTTACCTTGAGTCTCAGATGATACTTTGAACTTTGAATTTTTAAGTTTCTGCAGAAACAAGCTAAGACTGTTGGGACTATCGGGAAGGAATGTTTTGTAATGCGAGAAGGACATGCTTTTGGGGGGCCAAATGTAGAATGATATGGCTTGGATGTTTGTCCACCAAAACCTCATATTAAAATTTGATCCCCCTGTTGTAGGTGCCCTCCCTCCAGGAGAGGGTGAGTCAGTTATCCATTAGTTTTCATGAGAATTGATTTTTAAAAAGACCTGGCATCTCCCCATTCTCTCTCTTGCTTTCTCTCCCATCACGTGATCTTTCCACACACTGGCTCAACTTCGCCTTCTGCCATGAATGCAAGGAACTTGAGGCCCTCACTAGAAGCTGGACAGATGCTGGGACCATGCATCTTGTACAGCCTGCACAACCATGAGCCAAATAAACATCTTCCCTTTATAAATTTCCTAGCCTCAGGTATTCCTTGACAGCAACAGAAAATGAATTAATACACAAGGTATTAAAGATAGAAAGACATCTAAGACACAAAGTTTGCTCATAAAGAGTTTATTGGATAGTGGGAAAGACCAAAATGCAACCCACAAAACCAAACATGTATAGTATAATATGCTAATACATATATGTTCACATAAAAATGTAGAAGTCATTAGCTAGGTGGCTAATAACATCAGGGAATGCCAGATAAAGTGGGTAAAATGCATATTAAGAGAAAGATTGAGATGAAGTTTACCATCCACAACACACATACAGGCAGGCCCACCCATAAGAGTGCTCACAACTTAGCTTTTACACATGATTCCATATACATGGCTCTATTCTAAGTAAAATATAGAAATTAGAAGCATCATGGACAATGACTACTTGGTTTATTTCATTTTGTACATGTGACACTAAGTGCACAAGAAGTCCAGAGGTGACCAGATCAATGTGGCAAGGACATGCAAACGATCAAAATCTAACATTAGTATATGCACATAAATCTAGAGTATAAGTTCTCTGAGAGAAGGAATTGTTTTATATTTTGTCCAAATAGAAGAAATGTTAAATTTTCAATAGCATGAATTTCTAACATCTAAAATGGCGCCTAATATAAAAAGTGGTACTCGGTAAATATTTATGGAAAATATGTATACATGAATAAATATACCCGGTAGAAAATAAAAGAAACAGAAGTAAATATCGCCATCCAAATAATTTAAGGTCAATAGTTTCAGTTTCTCTTTTGCAAAATCTTTAACTTGCTTAACTTTCTTTCTTTTAGTTGTGTTCAAGAGTCGGAATGCCAAACCTGAAGGAATCCTAGCACCTACCTTATCTGTAAGTTTGCCTTAACAGAGTCACAACTCTGAGGGAGAAATACTCAACCAGATCAGCTTGCATTCATGGCAGAAGGCAAAGTTGAGCCAGTGTGTGCAAAGATCACATGATGGGAGAGAAAGCAAGAGAGAGAAGGGGGAGATGCCAGGTCTTTTTAAAAATCAGCTCTCGTGAAAACTAATGGAGAACTGACTCACCCTCTCCTGGAGGGAGGGCATGAATCTAATCATGAGGGATCCATCCTCATGACCCAATCATGGATCACGTAGGTGGGATCCATGTTTCGGTCTTGAGGATGGATCCCTCATGATTAGAGAGCTGTCAAGGGGTTGGATTTGGAATGTATTTTGAAGATATAGCCTCATGGCTGTAATCCCAGCATTTCAGGAGGCAGAGGTGGGCAGATTATTTGAGGTCAGGAATTTGAGACCAGCCTGGTCAATGTGGCAAAACACCGTCTCTACTAAAAATACAAAAATTAGCTGGGCTTGGTGATGGGCACCTGTGATCCCAGCTACTCCGCAGGCTGAGGCAGGAGAATTGCTTGAAGCCGTGAGACGGAGGTTACAGTGAGCTGAGATCATGCCACTGCACTCCAGCCTGGGCAACAGAGTGGGACTCGGTCTCAAAAAAAAGAAAGTATAGCATATAGGGTTTCTTGATGGATTTTGATGTGAACACTGAGGGAAAGAGAACAATAAAGAATGACTTTTATGAGACAGGAAGAGTTGGGGATACAAAATAAATTCTCTTTTAGACATAATAAGTTTGAAATTAACATTAAGTTGAAAGGTCATATAGGCAATTGGATAAATGTGCCTTAAGTTCACGTCAAAGTCAGAGCTGAAGATTTAAGCTTTGACTTATTAATGCTATAAATAATGTAAATAATGTACATTGACTATAACAGGCAATGATCAATTTATTAATATGTCTCCTGACCTGCAGAAAGCAGTCAGACTTTTTTTCCAAGACCAAGTATACTAATACAACTGAAAGAGATTTTTGTGAGAGCTAATTTATTTGATTCCACCTTAACATTCCAATCATGCCTTGCAGTATATTGAAGGCTGCAAGATGATCAAATTTAAATAGTGCAATACAGGATTTCATATTTCCTTCACACTTTTGAACAACATTTTATTGAATAACAAATTAATGATATTCTACTCCAATATTGAAAATTTATTGATGCTTATCTGCCCAAAACATCTTCCCTCGCGGGAGGACTCGAGTGACCTATAGACTTGCTTATACAGAGATAGGGAAAAAAAGAATCCTTCAACAGCCATTTTCTCACTGCTCTAGGAGATCCTCTGCTCTTCCCTTTCTTTTAGCCAAAGCTAAAGAAATGGAGTGAAAAAAGATTGAATTTATTCAGTGTCATCTCAAGCTGGCTGAGAGAGTATCTCTCCGTGGCATGGCTGCAAAATGACACAGGAAAGCTGCTCAGTCTCATTAACTTTACAAGCCAATCTGCTATTAGCATCTGGTGGTAAATTTGCCAATAATGAAAAAGGCTGGGATATACCTCCTGGAATCATAGTTTTACACATTTTGAATATTCAGTATGATCTTTCCTGCATTTCTGATCATCTGCCAAATTCTAATTTTTTAGGAATAGCAAGGAATGTTGTTGGGAGGAAGATTGACAGGAGATACAAGCCTGGATTTTGTTTTTTGTTATTTTATTTTATTTTATTTATTTACAGCATTGTTCTAGTGCACTAGAGTATTCACCTCAATTTCCTTACTTATAACAAGAAATACCCAGTGACTGATCAGCCTCACTAAGTCAAACTGTGTACTGGAAATTTCAGGTTTTCTACACATCAAAACCAGCCATGTGCTTAGGCCCATTGAAAGATACATTATCCTAACTCTAGACTAACTTCTCTCCATTTTGAAAGCCAATTTCTTTTCTTTTCTTTCTTTTTTTTTTTTTTTGAAATGGAGTCTCGCTCTGTCACCCAGGCTGGAGTGCAATGGTGCAATCTCGGCTCACTACAACCTCCGCCTCCCGGGTTCAAGCAATTATCCTGCCTCAGCCTCCCGAGTAGCTGGGATTACAGGCACCCACCATCATGTCCGACTAATTTTTGTATTTTTGTAGAGACGGGGTTTCACCTTGCTGGCCAGGCTGGTCTCGAACCAGGAGTTCAAGACCAGCCTGGCCAGCAAGGTGAAACCTCATCTCTAATAAAAATACAAAAATTAGCCGAGTGTGTTGGCAAGTGCCTGTAATCCCAGCTATTCAGGATGCTGAGGTATGAGAATCTCTTGCACCTGGGAGGTAGAGGTTGCAGTGAAAGGAGATCGCGCCACTGCACTCCAGCCTAGGCGACAGAGAGAGACTCCATCTCAAAAAACACAAAAATAAATAAAAGTAGTTTTCAATTTTGCAATTTGACCAATATTTAAATGCAAATATTTTATATTTGCATTTAAAATATAATTGTCTAGTTTTTACCAATATTACCATGAGCCAAGACCAACTAAATTACCACAGAGGAGACTGAGATGAATTCAGGCACAAGATTTAAGTTCCATATAGACGTGAGGAACTAATGTAAAAGAGTACTAATGTGTCAGTAGGAATTTTTAGCAACATATGTCAAGCTGCCTTATCCAAGTTATTCTTGGCAAGTCCCATAATTTCTAAATTAAATACAATGCTGAGGTCAACATGTGTAAATCAGAAATGATGTTTTTACATAGAAAAATGATTCCATACTCACAGTGCTTTTGTTAGAATTTGACTTTGTATTTTCATGCCTCCAATACACTCTAGGAGCTCTGTTTTCTACTTGTCCCAAGATCAAGGCATATCATGAAAATAAAAGCTAGAGACAATCAAGAAACCACATCTATTGATATCATTCATCCGGGTTTGTTTTGAGTTGACACTGAATAATAAATCTTATTCTCAAAACCACAACCAAATACACCTACTGAGAAGAATAAATATGTTAATACTTCCTAATACTTAAAAATACTTTCAAAATATATCACATCACCTATTCCTTTCAATATACCTTTGGGGACATTATTGACAACTTTAAAGATGAGATTAAATGAGATTAAACACATTGTAAATGGCAAGGAAGAAAAGACTCAAATCCAGATCTTATCATACTGCTGTTTCCACCATGAAGCATCTATCACTGCAAGACAGACTTTTTTATAAACTGTGATGATGTTACTCACCATCCTTGAAATCAATGCTTTGAGTGGTTTAGTTAATGTGGATGTATAGACAATCTTCTACTGTCTTGTTCAGATGTCTTACCCTGCCCCCTTGCAACCAACAATACAAGTAAGAAAAAAGAGGCTAATGCTATTGGCACAAAGTATAGCCATGTAATTTAAAAATCCAACTGATATTTTAAGACTGAAAAATTTATAAAAATTTGTAATGAAAGAATCTTAATCCACACACCTAAGATGTTGTTTGCCAAAATTTGAAATATAATGCTGATATTTTTATAATTTATTCCCCTAGGGTGAAATTCTGAATATAAGAAGAATGCCCACCCAGGAAATGTATATATCAGATGGAAACTGAAGATGAAATAGAACACAGATAACTGAAAATACAGAACTCTTTCACTACAAAGTGCTATATCTTATGAGTCCATTCAAATACTAAAGATTTGCTATTAGTTGAATCAGCTAAAGGACTTTTCCAAAACTATGAACCATATAAAAATATGTGCAGAACCAACTTTTCAATACTTTACACTTTGTCATTCTGCTCATTCAACTTTAGCAGAACCTAAAAATGCTTTAAACATTCACCATTGTTACTCCATTATCCTGTTGATTTTGCCAGTGATTTAGCACATAAAAACATTAGGACATATGCCATGAGTATTTCATCCCATAGCCATCAAGTAAAAATATAGTTTCTAGAGACTAAAATTTATGGATGACAAGTAGGTTCTACCTATGAACTAGGTACATGGAATAAAGTAAAATTAACCATCAAGAACAAATGTTGTCATCAGTTGCTATATTTAGTAAATCTATTTGAAGTGCTGAATGTCTGAAATGTGGAGCATCTTATCATGAAAGATAACAGTGCTAGAAAAATACAGAAAAACGGACAATATATTTTTCTATATAGACAATAACTGACATTAGACTCCAGCCAGGAATAAGAAAGTAAACATAATTTGACTGCACATGATAAACAAAAATGCAAAAGCATTTAGAGGCAAATCCTTAAAACCTCTAAACTTATTACTGGTAAAATAATCAAGCTTATTAGGATATCTTGAAATCACACATTTTTCTACATCCTACTCCTCTTTATATTTGTAGCACATAACCCAGTACCTGAAATATAGTGCTTAAAAATGCCATCTCAATTTTACGGAGTTTCATAATATGTTAATAATATCAATTGTCATAACTAAAGCTCTAAGCTCTTGAAAGGAGCATTATAGCCCAGACATAAAATGTTTCAGATGAACACGTTGCCATCCTTGTGAAATTCTCCCGAGAAGGGGAAACTATCCATATGCTTTGTGATCAATTGGCTGCAAATATTGCTGTGTGCTTTGTCATAACAGGCTGTTCTGCTGTAAAGACATAAATACTGGCTCATGTCCAGTTTGTACAAAAGATTAACTTTATCAAAGTCTCTGAAGATAAAGGCTCAGGCCGATTCATGTGACTGTGGTCACAATAGCATAACCAATGCGAAAAAGCTTACAAAAGAACAAGGACTGCCTTATTCACAGTGAAAGACACGGGTGCATAGTTACCGTAAGCTTCAGCAACGACAGCAAAAAATTGGCGGAGTTACTTGATGTGGTCACCAAAATCAATTCCATTTTTCGTGGAACTGGTACGGCGAATGCTGATTAGATAAGGAAACAAAGGCTGCCAGGTCTTAGAGGAAAACATTTTTCCATCGGTTGATGATGAAGCACAGCTAGAGTGCAAAATATTTTTCTCTCCAAATAGATGATATGGAGTGAAGCACAGTCTCTTGAGTCTTGCTGTGATTCAGAAATGAATTTGGAATTTGCCTTTCCCCCAAAGATTTTCCTAAAGGGGGATTTTGGCCACTGGGTATCAAGACCACTGGGGAGGTGATGAAACCAGGTTTGGGAGAAGTTGTGAAGGTAGTGGAATTCACTGTAGCCTTCTGTTTAGAAAAGGGTATTCTGGCTAACTTCCAGACTCACGCTCTTGGTCTGCAGGAAAGGCCACTCAGCCACCAAAAGGAGAATTGTATACAGCTATGGAGAATAGAGTGTTGGAAAAAAATAACAAATCTTGACTTTTTGTGGGAGAGAGAAGGAAGAAAGAAGTAATTGGTGGTGTCCTGCTTGTGGATAAATAATATTTAAGACTCACTTTCTACATTTCTTTTCAATGATTCCTAATGTGTATTCGTAAAAATTAAAACTGAATATTTAGACCCAAAGTTTCCTAAAGGAAGAGAAAAAGCTCCACTTCAACTACTTATACATTAAAATATGTAAGGCAAGATTTTCATTTCTTCTTAAATTCTCCCCATTAACAATTGACAATAACATCCTTTTTTATGTTTTATTTTCTTGCACATGTAATATTATGTATGCACAATATTTTAATATTGCTGTATGGTACATTATCATATTGCTCTATGGTAGAGGTAATTTATTATAACTGCTGGTTATGACCTTTTTGTTTTACCTTATGAAGAGAATTTTAAAACGCATTTATCGTAATTGTCTATAGAAGATAGTTATTTGTAAACTCTTTGGAAGAGGCCAAATTAACATAATGCCAAAAGATTTTCCTCTTTTTAGCTTTTACATTGCTTCCCATTATTAAGCAACCCTAAACATGCAAAAACACATTGAGTTTTAATTTGGGAACTTTAGTCTGGTACACATATACCAATGCAGAGAGTGTGGCTCACTAATCTGATGAAAGGAGACAGAGTGCTGAAAAACCTACAATCATCAATATTTGGTCCCTGGTCCTCTGTATATACTACTACGATTTTCCCTATCTTATCTTGTACTTTACTTTTGCAAATTAAATCACTCGACAAAGATTGATGTAGGACCCAAGTTAAGCCATAAATACGTCAAGTC